>NC_000012.12:38066188-38217703 GCF_000001405.40 Homo sapiens
ATGACCATATACTACAATACCATATCACCACTAGGCCTGCACTACAAGAAATGCTAAAGAGAGTTTATTCATGAAAAATAAAGTGATGCTAAACAGCATCACAAAATTACCTGAAAGTATGTAACTCTCTGGAAAAGACATATACAGGCACAAAAATAAACTTCTGATAAATTCAAATGATGGTTCATAAAACATATGTAATTATGTTACATAATTTTAAAAAGCTGAAAAATATTCAACAACAGTTGTTAATGATATATAATATAAAAAGACATTAGTGACATCAATAATATAGAGTTGAGGCAGATGGAAAGAGAAAGAATGTTTGTATGCAACTAAAGTTAAGTTGTTACTGGCCAGGCGTGGTGGCTCACGCCTGTAATCACAGCACTTTGGGAGGGTGAGGCAGGTGGATCACCTGAGGTAAGGAGTTTGAGACCAGCCTGGCCAACATGGTGAAACCCTTTCTCTATTAAAAATACAAAAAATAAGCTGGGCATGGTGGTGGGCTACTGTAATCCCAGCTACTCGGGAAACTGAGACAGGAGAATCACTTGGACCCGGGAGGCAGAGGTTGCAGTGAGCTGAGATCATGCCATTGTGCTCAGCCTGGGTGACAGAGACTCTGATTTAAAAAAAAAAAAAAAACGTTAAGTTGTTACCAATTTAAAATATATTGTAACTTTAAGAGGTTTTATGGGCTAAGCACAGTGGCTCATGCCTATAATCCCAGTACTTTGGGAGGCTAAGGTGGGCAAATCCCAACATCAGGAGTTTGAGACCAGCCTGGCCAACATGGTAAACAACCCACCCGTCTCTACTAAAAATACCAAAAATTAGCCAGGTGTGGCAGTGGGCACCTGTAATCCCAGCTCTGGGGGAGGCTGAGGCAGAAGAATCATTTGAACTCAGGAGGCAGAGGTTGCAGTGAGCTGAGATCGCACCACTGCACTCCAGCCTGAGTGACAGTGTCAGACTCCTTCTCAAAAAAAAAAAAAAAAGAGGTTTTATGTAATCCCCATGGTAACCACAAGGAAAATATTTAGAGAGACACACACACACACAAATACATTAAAGTATGTCACTACAAAAATCAAGACAAGAGGGATGATTAAAAGGAGTGGGTAAAGGGGACAACATTACTATAAAAATCAGAGAAAACAATGACAAATGGACACAGGAAGAGGAACATCACACACCGAGGCCTGCTGTGGGGTGGTGGGAGGGGGAAGGGATAGCATTAGGAGATATGCCTAATGTTAAATGAAGAGTTAATGGGTGCTGCACACCAACATGGCACATGTATACATATGTAACTAACTTGCATGTTGTGCACATGTACCCTAAAACTTAAAGTATAATAAAAAATGACAAAAGTAAGCTCTTCACTTTCAAAAACATATTTTAATATGTAAGAACTAAACTTTTCAATCAAAACATGTAAATTGAATAGAGGGATTAATAAAATAAAACCCAACTTTATCCTCTCCATAAGTGACTCACTTCAGATCTAATGTCAAAACTAGGCTGAAAGTAGCAAGATGAAAATAGACTTTAGATGTAAATGGAAATCGAATGAGAGCAGTGCTGGTCACAGCTTTGTTAGGCAAAATACATTTTAGTCACAGTTCATAAAATAAACTTTAAGTCTGCTGGGCACGGTGGTTCACACCTGTAATCTCAGCACTTGGGAGGCCGAGGCAGGCAGATCACGAGGTCAGGAGATGGAGACCATCCTGGCTAACACGGTGAAACCCTGTCTCTACTAAAAATACAAAAAGTTAGTCAGGCGTGATGGCGGGTGCCTGTAGTCCCAGCTACTCAGGAGGCTGAGGCAGGAGGTGGAGCTTGCAGTGAGCCAAGATTGCGCCACTGCACTCCAGCCTGGGTGACAGAGTGAGACTCTTCCTCAAAAAAATAAATAAATAAATAAATAAAAATAAATAAACTTTAAGTCTAAACTGTCACAGGAGACAAAGAAGGACATTAAATAATAATAAAAGGGCTCATTCACTGAGAACATATGAAATTTTATTATATGTGTGTGTGTGTGTGTGTGTGTGTATATATATATATAAAATTATCACACCGGTGTTTCCAAATGTATAAAGCAAACATTGAAATAATTATTACAATAGACAGAAAAATAATAGTAGAATACTTTAATACAAACTTTTAATAATAAATAATAAAGCTAGCCTAAATATTAATAAGAAAACAAAAGTTTTGAAAACACTAGAGAAAAATTAGACCTAATGGGAATATACAAAATACACAACAACAGCAAAACACACAATTTTCTCAATAGCTCATAAAACATTCTCCTAGACACACCGCCTATTAGGCCACAAAACAAGACTTAACAATTTTTTAAAAATAGAAATCTTAGACTATTATTTCTGATCAAAATAGAATAAAACTAGAAATTGGTAACAAGAAAACAAAAATGTCAACATATATGGAAATTAAACAACTCACTTTTGAGCATGCTCATGTTCAAGGGTTGTAAGACTTAATATTGTGAAGATGTTCATACTTCCTAGGGTGCTACAGATTCAATGCAATCCCTTTTAAATTACCTTTTTTTTTTTTTTTTTTTTAAATAGGAAAAGCAACTGTTGCAGGATGTCAGGGACCAAATGGAGGGACCAGCTGAAGCCATGGCAGAAGAATGTGGATTGTGAAGATTTCACGGACATTTATTAGTTCCCCAAATTAATATTTTTATGATTTCTTATGCCTGTCTTTATTGCAATCTCTAAGCATAAGTTGTGAAGACTTCATGGACACTTATCACTTCCCCAATCAATACCCTTGTGATTTCCTATGCCTGTCTTTACTTTAATCTCTTAATCCTGTCATCTCATAAGCTGAGGAGGATGTATGTCACCTCAGGACCCTGTGACAATTGCATTAACTGCACAAATTGTAGAGCATGTGTGTTTGAACAATATGAAATCTGGCCAACTTGAAAAAAGAACAGGATAAAAGCAATGTTCAGGGAACAAGAGAGATAACCTTAAACTCTGACCACTGGTGAGCCAGGCGGAACAGAGCCATATTTCTCTTCTTTCAAAAGCAAATGGGAGAAATATCACTGAATTCTTTTTCTCAGCAAAAAACAACCCTGAGAAAGAGAATGTGCCCCTGAGGGTGGGCCTCTAAAATGGCCCCCTTGGGTGTGGCCATCTTCTATGGTTGAAACTGTAGGGGTGAAATAAGCCCCAGTCTCCCATAGTTCTCCCAGGCTTATT
The DNA here is from genome assembly GCF_000001405.40 of Homo sapiens. NCBI lineage: Eukaryota > Metazoa > Chordata > Mammalia > Primates > Hominidae > Homo > Homo sapiens. Next base: position 38,069,443 of record NC_000012.12, read on the forward strand.
AGGATGAGGAAATTCCTGCCTAATAAATTTTGGTCAGACTGGTTGCTCTCAAACCCTGTCTCCCAATAAGATGTTATCCATGACAATGGTGCCCGAAACTTCATTAGCAATTTTAATTTCACCCCGGTCCTGTGGTCTTGTGATCTCACCCTGCCTCCATTTGCCTTGTGATATTCTATTACCTTGTGAAGTAAGTGATCTCTGTGACCCACACCCTATTCATACACTCCCTCCCCTTTTGAAAATTCCTAATAAAAACTCTCTGGTTTTGCGGCTTGTGGGGCATCACAGAACCTACCGACATGTGATGTCTCCCCTGGATGCCCAACTTTAAAATTTCTCTCTTTTGTACTCTGTCCCTTTATTTCTCAAACCAGCTGGCGCTTGGGGAAAATAGAAAAGAACCTATGTGAAATATCGGAGGTGAATTTTGCCTGATATCTGGCTGAATTTACCCCAATAAACAACCAACAAATTATATGGAATCTCAAGGGACAATAAAGAGCCAAAAAATGTTTAACAAAATAAATAATGTTAGTGACCTCATATTTTCTGATTTCAAAGCACATTAAAAGCTACAGTAATAAAAACAATTTGGTTCTGACATAAAGACAGACTAGTTTTCCAATAAAACACAATGTAGCACAGATGCAAACCTCACACATATGGGCAAATAGTTATTGGAACACCTATATTCATTGAAGCATTATTCACAAAGGCCAATATTTGAAAGCAAAACAAACTTTCCTCACTGAATGAATGAGTAAATACAATTTGTAATATTAAAGTAATGGAAAACTACTCAGCTTTTCAAAGCAAAAAATCTTGTGACATCCACAATAAAGATAAACCTTGAGCATATGATGCTAAGTAAACTTAGCCACAATAAAACAGATACTCTATGATTCCACTTATATGTAATATCTACAGTATTGGAACTCTTAGAAACAGAAAATGGAATGGTTTTTATGAGGAGCCAGGTGGTAAAAAAAAAATGGGTATTATTAATTTATTTCTCACATACTGAGTTTTAGTTTTGCAACATAAAAAAGTTTTACAGATATGTTGCATAACAATGAAAATACACTTAACATGACTAAACTGTATAAGAAAAAATATTTAAGATTATCGATTTATGTTACATATTTTTACCACAATTAAAATTAAAAATGACACCTGAGGGCAGGGTGCAGTGGCTCAGGCCTGTAATCCCAGCACTCTGGGAGGCCGAGGTGTGCAGATCACTTGAGGTTAAGAATTCAAGACCAGCCTGGCCCCATCTCTACTAAAAATACAAAAATTAGCCAGGCCTGGTGGTACATGTCTTTAATCCCAGCTACTCAGGAGGCTGAAGCAGGATAAATGCTTTAACCTGGGAGGTGGAGGTTGCAGTGAGTGGAGACTGTGCCACTGCACTTTGGGTGACAGAGCAAGACTCTCTCTTAAAAAAAATAAATAAATAAGACACCTAATAGAGACAGAGTTATAAACTTTCTGAAAAATTACCTTCAAACCACAAAACTGTTTCTTTCACACTAAGATAATATAAGATAAAGATGTTGAAATTAGGACAATATTTCCATGACTACTCACCTAGACAGAATCAATTATTGGCCATGAGCCAAGAAGAAAAATATAAAAATAATAAACAAAATAGGTGTAACATTTACACAAGCAAACAAACACTCAGATAATTATACTGACAAAGGACATAGGGCTGATTCATAGCTGACTTTTGTCCCACACTGTCTTAAGGTGTACAGAGTTGAATATTGTCATACAAAATTATAATATATAAATTAAAACTAAAAACAGTAAACTCATGTAAGGTGGCCTACCCTAAAAAATGAAACACAGAAATACAAAATTGCAAACAAAGTTAAAATTAACATTAACTCCCAAAATTCTGATTTGGATACTGTAATTCAAAACCATAATACATAGGTAGAAACTAGAAACACAACTGATGTGAGGCAGCCTACTCTAAAAAATACAGAAGTATAAAATACAAAACATAAGGAAGAGAAACTTTAACCCATAAAATCCTGAATAAACATAGAAAAGAATTCTAGACAACTACAATTTTCAACTCTAACTGTGCATCCAAGAAAATCATGAATTTTGAATTGTTTGGATACAATTAGGGCAACATTTCAAAGAAAACACATTATAATTATTCATAAAGAGCTTTGATGAGAAAGTTTTAAAGAAAAAAAGCATATATTGAACCAGCCTTGCATCCCAGGGATGAAGCCCACTTGATCATGGTGGATAAGCTTTTTGATGTGCTGCTGGATTCATTGTGCCAGTATTTTATTGAGGATTTTTGCATCAATGTTCATCAAGGATATTGGTCTAAAATTCTCTTTTTTGGTTGTGTCTCTGCCAGGCTTTGGTATCAGGATGATGCTGGCCTCATAAAATGAGTTAGGGAGGATTCCCTATTTTTCTATTGATTGGAATAGTTTCAGAAGGAATGGTACCAGTTCCTCCTTGTACCTCTGGTAGAATTCGGTTGTGAATCCATCTGGTCCTGGACTCTTTTTTGTTGGTAAGCTATTGATTATTGCCACAATTTCAGAGCCTGTTATTGGTCTATTAAGAGATTCAACTTCTTCCTGGTTTAGTCTTGGGAGAGTGTATGTGTAGAGGAATTTATCCATTTCTTCTAGATTTTCTAATTTATTTGCGTAGAGGTGTTTGTAGTATTCTCTGATGGTAGTTTGTATTTCTGTGGGATCGGTGGTGCTATCCCCTTTATCATTTTTTATTGTATCTATTTGATTCTTCTCTCTTTTTTTCTTTATTAGTCTTGCTAGCAGTCTATCAATTTTGTTGATCCTTTCAAAAAACCAGCTGCTGGATTCATTAATTTTTTGAAGGGTATTTTGTGTCTCCATTTCCTTCAGTTCTGCTCTGATCTTCATTATTTCTTGCCTTCTGCTAGCTTTTGAATGTGTTTGCTCTTGCTTCTCTAGTTCTTTTAATTGTGATGTTAGGGTGTCAATTTTAGATCTTTCCTGCTTTCTCTTGTGGGCATTTAGTGCTATAAATTTCCCTCTACACACTGCTTTGAATGCATCCCAGAGATTCTAGTATGTTGTGTCTTTGTTCTCATTGGTTTCAGAGAACATCTTTATTTCTGCCTTGATTTCGTTATGCACCCAGTAGTAATTCAGGAGCAGGTTGTTCAGTTTCCATGTAGTTGAGAGGTTTTGAGTGCGATTCTTAATCCTGAGTTCTAGTTTGATTGCACTGTGGTCTGAGAGTTAGTTTGTTATAATTTCTGTTCTTTTACATTTGCTGAGGAGAGCTTTACTTCCAAGTATGTGGTCAATTTTGGATTAGGTGTGGTGTGGTGCTGAAAAAAATGTATATTCTGTTGATTTGGGGTGGAGAGTTCTGTAGATGTCTATTAGGTCCACTTGGTGCAGAGCTGAGTTCAATTCCTGGGTATCCTTGTTGACTTTCTGTCTCATTGATCTTTCTAATGTTGACAGTGGGGTGTTAAAGTCTCCCATTATTAATGTGTGGGAGTCTAAGTCTCTTTGTAGGTCACTCAGGACTTGCTTTATGAATCGGGGTGCTCCTGTGTTGGGTGCATATATATTTAGGATAGTTAGCTCTTCTTGTTGAATTGATCCCTATACTATTATGTAATGGCCTTCTGTGTCTCTTTTGACCTTTGTTGGTTTAAAGTCTGTTTTATCAGAGACTAGGATTGCAACCCCTGCCTTTTTTTGTTTTCCATTTGCTTGGTAGATTTTCCTCCATCCTTTTATTTTGAGCCTATGTATGTCTCTGCACGTGAAATGGGTTTCCTGAATACAGCACACTGTTGGGTCTTGACTCTTTATCCAATTTGCCAGTCTGTCAAATCAATAAATGTAATCCAGCATATAAACAGAGCCAAAGACAAAAACCACATGATTATCTCAATAGATGCAGAAAAGACCTTTGACAAAATTCAACAACCCTTCATGCTAAAAACTCTCAGTAAATTAGGTATTGATGGGACGTATTTCAAAATAATAAGAGCTCTCTATGACAAACCCACAGCCAATATCATACTGAATGGGCAAAAACTGCAAGCATTCCCCTTGAAAACTGGCACAAGACAGGGATGTCTCACCACTCCTATTCAACATACTGTTGGAAGTTCTGGCCAGGGCAATTGGGCAGGAGAAGGAAATAAAGGGTATTCAATGAGGAAAAGAGGAAGTCAAATTGTCCCTGTTTGCAGATGACATGACTGTATATCTAGAAAACCCCACTGTCTCAGCCCAAAATCTCCTTAAGTTGATAAGCAACTTCAGCGAAGTCTCAGGATACAAAATCAATGTACAAAAATCACAAGCCTTCTTATACACCAACAACAGACAAACAGAGAGCCAAATCATGAGTGAATTCCCATTCACAATTGCTTCAAAGAGAATAAAATACCTAGGAATCCAACTTACAAGGGATGTGAAGGAGCTCTTCAAGGAGAACTACAAACCACTGCTCAAGGAAATAAAAGAGGATACAAACAAATGGAAGAACATTCCACGCTCATGGGTAGGAAGAATCAATATTGTGAAAATGGCCATACTGCCCAAGGTAATTTACAGATTCAGTGCCATCCCCATCAAGCTACCAATGCCTTTCTTCACAGAATTGGAAAAAACTACTTTAAAGTTCATATGGAACCAAAAAAGAGCCCGCATTGCCAAGTCAATCCTAAGGCAAAAGAACAAAGCTGGAGGCATCATACTACCTGACTTCAAACTATACTACAAGGCTACAATAACCAAAAGAGCATGGTACTGGTACCAAAACAGAGATATAGATCAATGGAACAGAACAGAGCCCTCAGAAATAATGCTGCATATCCACAACTATCTGATCTTTGACAAACCTGAGAAAAACAAGCAATGGGGAAAGGATTCCCTATTTAATAAATGGTGCTGGGAAAACTGGCTAACCATATGTAGAAAGCTGAAATTGGATCCCTTCCTTACACCTTATACAAAAATCAATTCAAGATGGATTAAAGACTTAAACATTAGACCTAAAACCATAAAAACCCTAGAAGAAAACCTAGGCAATACCATTCAGGACATAGGCATGGGCAAGCACTTCATGTCTAAAACACCAAAAGCAATGGCAACAGAAGACAAAATTGACAAATGGGATCTAATTAAACTAAAGAGCTTCTGCACAGCAAAAGAAACTACCATCAGAGTGAACAGGCAACTTACAAAATGGGAGAAAATTTTCACAACCTACTCATCTGACAAAGGGCAAATATTCAGAATCTACAATGAACTCCAACAAATTTACAAGAAAAAAACAAACAACCCCATCAAAAAGTGGGTGAAGGACATGAACAGACACTTCTCAAAATAAGACATGTATGTAGCCAAAAAAACACATGAAAAAATGCTCATCATCCCTGGCCATCAGAGAAATGCAAATCAAAACCACAATGAGATACCATCTCACACCAGTTAGAATGGCGATCATTAAAAAGTCAGGAAACAGGTGCTGGAGAGGATGTGGAGAAATAGGAACACTTTTACACTGTTGGTGGGACTGTAAACTGGTTCAACCATTGTGGAAGTCAGTGTGGCGATTCCTCAGGGATCTAGAACTAGAAATGCCATTTGACCCAGCCATCCCATTACTGGGTATATACCCAAAGGACTATAAATCATGCTGCTATAAAGACACATTCACTGGTATGTTTATTGTGGCGTTATTCACAATACCAAAGACTTGGAACCAACCCAAATGTCCAACAATGATAGGCTGGATTAAGAAAATGTGGCACATATACACCATGGAATACTATGCAGCCATAAAAAATGATGAGTTCATGTCCTTTGTAGGCACATGGATGAAGCTGGAAGCCATCATTCTCAGTAAACTATCGCAAGAACAAAAAACCAAACACCGCATATTCTCACTCATAGGTGGGAATTGAACAATGAGATCACATGGACACAGGAAGGGGAACATCACACTCTGGCGACTGTTGTGGGGTGCAGGGAGGGAGGAGGGATAGCATTGGGAGATATACCTAATGCTAGATGACAAGTTAGTGGGTGCAGCGCACCAGCATGGCACATGTATGCATATGTAACTAACCTGCACAATATGCACATGTACCCTAAAACTTAAAGTATTAAAAGAAAAAAAACTTAAAAAAAAAACAAGAAAAAATAAATTTTTCCATTAAATAATAAAAAAAAAAAAAGCATTTCAGTAATACTAGAGAAACTTTTAAATTATGCTACTGATACATTGATACATTTCTGCTTTTCATTTTTTCTTTTCTTTCTTTCTTTTTTTTTTTTTTTTTTTTTTTTTTTTTTTTTTGAGACGGAGTTTCACTCTTGTTGCCCAGGCTGGAGTGTGATGGTCCAATCTCGGTTCACCGCAAACCTCCGCCTCCCGGGTTCAAGCTATTCTCTTGCCTCAGCTTCCCGAGTAGCTGGGGTTACAGGCATGAGCCACCACGCCCAGCTAATTTTGTATTTTTAGTAGAGATGGGGTTTCTTCATGTTGGTCAGGCTGGTCTCAAACTTCTGACCTCAGGTGACGCACCCGCCTTGACCTCTCAAAGTGCTGGGATTACAGATGTAAGCCATCATGCCCAGCCCATTGCTGCTTTTCTTACAAAATTGTAAGGCTGTAATCTAGCCTTTAGAAGAAAAATCTTACATTTCTAAATACAATAACTATATATATATATTGTAAATACGGTATAAAACCTTGGTATATAAAATAAAATTGGTTATAAGTTGTTCTATTATTCAGGTAAAAGTTGAGGAAACCGGAAGGAAATGCTAATAATAACATTGTGCCTAAAGTCGATGAAACATACAAGACAAATATTTTAATAAATGATATAATTTATATATAACATATACATTTGAGCATGTTATTTTATTTTATTTATTTTATTTATTTATTTTTTGAGATGGAGTCTTGCTCTTTTGCCCAGGCTTGTGTGCAGTGGCGCGATCTTGGCTCACTGCAACCTCTGCCTCACAGGTTCAAGCGATTCTCTTTCCTCAGCCTCCCGATTAGTTATGATTACAGGCAGATGCCACCATGCCCGGCTAATTGTTTTTTACTTTTAGTAGAGTTGGGGTTTCATTATGTTGGCCAGGCTGGTCTCAAACTCCTGACCTCATGATCCACCCGCCTCTGCCTCCCAAAGTGCTGGGATTTCATTCGTGAGCCACTGTGCCAGGCCTTGATCATGTTATTGTAGAACTTCTAAAACTAAGATTACAGACAAATTACAGACATATGACAATTCAGAAAGTGAAAACACAGTCATGGTAATCTTTATGTTAAAGAAGACAGAATCACAAAATAATAAATGAGAAATAAGTTAATAATTGGGAATTCAATATATGTTCAGCAATGTTCTAATTTCCCTTATGGGAAAAGTTTTTGTAAGGAATCCATAAAATGAGTACATACAATAAATCGCCCTACAGTAGAGATTGTTGGCATATAGAGTTTAAATGTTTAAGATTAGGCATAAAGTTTTTCAGTCAAATTTTTTGCAGAATAATGTATTAAACCTTCATAGGTTGTGAAATTATAAAGCAGAAAACATATGTCATCTGTCTGGTGTTCCTGGAATTTCTTTCTTTTTTATTGTATAATCCCATTTATATGAAATACCCAGAATATGCAAATCCATAGAGACAGAAAGTAGACTAGTGATTGCAAAGGGAGGAGGAGGAAAGAATAGAGAGTGACTGCTAAAGGGTATAGGATTTCTCTTTATCATCACTGCTTCTCCCACAGTGGTGACAGTCATAACCTTGTTAATAAGCTAAAAACCAATGGATTATACATTTTATTTATGTTTATTTTTAGAGTCTAAGGTCTCACAAAGTTGCCCAGGCTGTTCTTGAATTCCTGCCTCAATAAATTCTCCACCTCAGCCTCCTCAGCTCCTGGGATTACAGGCATAAGCCACCATACCCAGTTCTGATTATACACGTCAAAATTGTAACTTTTATTGTATGATATGTATATCTCAGCTAAAAAAGAAAAGAACAGGGAGGTCTGTACTGAGATGGTATAATCTCCAAATATATTAAGTAAAAAAAGAAAGCTACAGAATAGTGTTTGCAATATACTACTATATTCTTAAAAAAATGTACACACATACATATACACTGTCCAGGCATAAAAACTCTGAAAAGACATATGGGAAATAAGTTCCATTATTTCCTAAAGTGAAAGATCCTGGAATGCCTGGGGATATGGTGGTCTGGAAGGAAGACCTAACTTTTCAATATGCTCCTTTGTACCTTTTGAATTTTGTATAGAGTACAACACTTCCCCTATTTTCTAATTTAAAGAAAGAAAAAATACTCTGATGCTTTCTCTTTAGTCTTTAGTTTTATTTTAAGAGATCGTCTGCATTTTTTTCTGTAATAAACTTAAAAGATATCCACTCATTTTGTCAGATTGATTTATTCTTTAGCAATTTGAGTATTAAAATTACAGTTTTTGTCTCAATCCTTAATAATATTTATTCATTATATTTCAGATGTTTAGGTTTCTCATGGAGAAAAAGAAACACAGGCATAAACCTATATATTATCCACTTGCTAGTCCTGCAGCATGATTTTAATAAAGTGTTACTGATATACTTGAACAATTTCCATGATGTCGGCAGAGCGATATCAACAAGAGTGATTATAAAGTAGCTGGCCTTATAAGTCAAGAGTTATGATCTTTGATCCACTGCTCAATCAATTTCAAGATCTGATCTACATTCTTTTCTTTTCTTTCTTTTTTTTTTCTAGGCTGGAGTTCAGTGGCGCGATCTTGGCTCACTGCAAGCTCCGCCTTCCGGGTTCACGCCGTTCTCCTGCCTCAGCCTCCTGAGTAGTTGGGACTACAGGCGCCCATCACCACATCTGGGCTAATTTTTTTTATTATTATTATTTTTAGTAGAGACGGTGTTTCACGGTGTTAGCCAGGATGGTCTTGATCTTTTGATCTCGTGATCCACCCACCTCTGACTCCCAAAGTTCTGGGATTACAGGAATGAGTCACCGCCCCCGGCCAATCTGATCTACATTATTTTCTAGCTCTTCTGGTTTATTGCTGGGCAACTGATGCGCGATTTCTTCCTTGTGGGATGTTGTGGCTTCTTCATAAAGAACTTGAAAAATCTCACACTGAATATTGTCTGTTAGAGTTTTCCCATTATAACCCCTTGTTTCAAGTCTTTCATACAATACATTGGTATCTGTTCTCAGCACAAAAATTATATGAAACCAGCGTTTAGGGAAGAAGTCACAACCGTGGTAATCAACAATAACTCCACCTTCTCTCATTTGTTATCTAACTCATCAACTACTCTGTCTTCGTCTAAAATGGGACAATCACTCTTCATCATAGCCATCATAGGATTTCTCTTCTCAAGATAAATCACCCACATTAATGTATTTCAGTCCTGATACTGATGCAACTTCTTTGCCTAGTGTGGTTTTTCCAACCCCTGGTGTACCGGTGAGCAGGCTGTTCAGAAGCAACGACAGCTTGCCGCGACGTCTCCGAGCACCTTGCTCACACGCCTTTTGCACTACTCTTCCTGGAATTTCTAAACCAAATCCCAATGCCTCCCAATGCCTCCACAACTCCCCTCATACACTTCTGACTTGAAGCACCACAGATTTATTAAAAAATGTCATAACATGATGGGGGCGGTGGCTCACGCCTGTAATCCCAGCACTTTGGGAGGCCGAGGCGGGCAGATCACGAGGTCAGGAGATCAAGACCATCCTGGCTAACACGGTGAAACCCCGTCTCTACTAAAAATACAAAAAAAAAAAAAAAAAATTAGCCTGGTGTGGTGGTGAGCACCTGTAGTCCCAGCTTCTCGGGAGGCTGAGGCAGGAGAATGGTGTGAACCCGGAAGGTGGAGCTTGCAGTGAGCCGAAATTGCGCCACTGCACTCCAGCCTGGGTGACAGTGCGACACTCCATCTCAAAAAAAAAAAAAAAAAATAGCATAACATAGAGGTCTCCAGAAATGTGCACAGATTTCCCCAGATTCCCAAAAGTAATGAAAACTAGTCAGATCCTGTAGGTTCTTAAAGATTCTGGGAGGACTTTGATTTTTAGTGTGAATGCACTGGAAGAGTCTGGGAAGGAGAAAATAAGCTGTAGAAGATTGAAGAGCATAGTAAGCATGGGACAGGAACATGTTTCTCTGTGACAGCAAGATAAATAAAACTAGTCTTTTCCAAAACAATTTCCATTGGAGCAGAGATGACCAAACCACATTTAAACTCTCGCCTTCTCTGTGACCTTTGGACCTCTCCTATGTGTTACCTGCTCATTTATTTTCACCTTGCTTTGTATATGGCTTTTGCCTCCTCTCTTTTCACACTCCAGGAATTTTTTCTTTGCTACAGACTGTCCACCACAGTTTTTTTTTTTTTTCCTTCCCCACAACAGTAATTGGGCTCACCAGAAAATGCCCAACTCCCAGCATCTTCCTCAGGAGAGATTTTAAACTGTAGAATATGTGTTGAAATATTTGTCTTTTTGAGAGATTGCCTAATGACTAGATTGTCTCTCTCCTGACATGGAGTGCTGAAGGACATGATGGGGTCATACGGATGACAGTGGTGTCGGATGAGAAGAAAGATGAATGCTGGGTTACAGCACTAGAGAAACTGCAACACCACAGAGAGTCAACTGAGGAAGAAAACAGGTAATCAATCTAAAAACAATGAAACTAATTCTCTTTAACTTAGAAATACACACAAATCCAAACAAGACATATCTGAGAATGCGTCTGTGAAGCAACCAGAATCTGTAATCCATAGCCTCGCTGATTGCTGTCAGTATCCCCCGCTTTACTAACCCAGTTTTTTGTTTTGTTTTGTTTTGGTTTTTTAGTTGTTTTTTGTTTGTTTGTTTTTTGTTTTTTTTTTTTTTTTTTGAGATGGAGTTTTGCTGTCACCCACGCTGGAGTGCAGTGGTGCAATCTCAGCTCACTTCGACCTCCATCTCCCAGGTTCAAGCGATTCTCTTGCCTCAGTCTCCTGAGTAGCTGGGACGATAGGTGGGCACCACAACACCAGGCTAATTTTTTGTATTTTCAGTAAAGACGGTGTTTTGCCATGTTAGTCAGGCTGGTCTCAAAACACCTGGCCTCCAGTAATCTGCCCGTCTCGGCCTCCCAAAGTGCTGGGATTGCAGGCATAAGCTATCGCACCCAGCGGTGCCAGTCTTTAAATGCTAGATTTTAAGGATGTTGTATGAATTTCCAGATCTTATAAAAAAATTACAAGGCATACAGAGAAGATGGAAAATATGCTTCACTGGAAGAAACAGAATAAATATCCAGAAGTTGAATCTTAAGAAATGAAGATTTTTGCATATCTGATGAAGAATTCAAAATAATCAACTTAAGCATTCTCAGTGAACAAAAATAAAACAAAAATAGACAATTGAATAGCATTTAAAATAATAAATGACCAAAATGTGATATCAACAAAGAGATGAAACCTTTTTCTAAAAACCCAACAGAAATTGTGGAGTTGAAGGATACAATAAGTGAGGTTTAAAAATTCCCTACAGAGACACAACAGCAAACAATGGAGCAAAAAATGAATCAGGAAATTAAGCCTGTATTATTCACAAATATTTAGGCCTGGAAACTAATTTTTGAAAAGAATGAGAAAAATAAGGGTGAAATATGAGACTTACTGGACACCATCAAGTAGACCAATATATTCAGAGAAAGGTTCTTATAGAAATAATATAGGAAGAAAATGGCAGAAGTGTTATTTGGGGGAAAAAGAGGGGATGCTGAGAACTTTACACATTTCAGTGATGAAACAAAAAATACTAGCAACCAAGAATAATTGATCTGGAAAAAACTGTACTTCAAAAATTAGAAAAAATAAATACTTTCAAATATTGAAATAAAAAATCTAAGGTTGTTTACTACTAGAATAACCTTAGAAAAAAAATGCTGAAGAGAGTCAATTATGTTGAAACATTAAATGTTGCTGGACAGCATCATAAAACCATATGAAAATATAAAACTCTCTGTTAAATGTAAATATATACACAGATATAAAATTTGCTATTGTAATAATAATGGTGCATAAAATTCTTAAATCTCTGTGAAAATACACACAATATAGAGAGATATAATTTGTAACATTAATAAGAAAGTAGGGAAAGTAAAAATGAGTACATTTTGTATGCTGTTAACTCGAAGTTGAAGGCAAAATCTGTTTGCACTGGAGACCTTAGCACTGGGCAAGAGAGGAGGCAAAGCTGCCATTTTGTCTCCCTTAGTTCTTCCATCTCCCCCTACTCTGCATAGGGATTTTTCTTGGTCTGCAGGAATAGTCAGTGTGGCCAGGCTTTGTTCTGCACACACAGACAGGTGCAAGTAGGCATGTCATGTATAGACGGGGCCTGGGATTCTAAAAAAAATAAATTTTGAAAAATTGGAAAACTGAGAATTTTTGGCATGATTCTCAGGACTTTGGGCTGCGGAAAGTGTAAGTCCTTGCTTCTAGCCATGTGGTTTCTCATCAGAGTTGTTGGGGCGTTCTCCCTACAGGTGTCACTTAAGGAGATCGTGCAGGAGATTTACCCGGTACTCATGGTCCATGAAGACATGTGTCACTGCACCTGCTTCTCACTGCACCTGGACAGCAACATGCCAAACCACTTCCCAGGGCTGCGAAGCACTGAGGAGCTGCAGGAGGGCTCAGGGCTGTGCGTGAGGGAAGGCTGGTTTGGAAGTTGGGTGGACTGCCTTGGGGATGGCCTCCAAAAGCAGGGCCAGGCAGCACTTCCCCACTCCTCTGAGGTCTCTGCATCCCGGATGAGTACGTGAATATAGGATTGGAGCACAGGCTTCCTTCTCAGGCTGTCACACCAGCACCTTATAACTTCATAGCCCATAAGTTAAAGAACAGAGTTGTGATTCTAAAAAAATCAGGCAGTACCAAGGCAGGCTTGATATCAGCCCAATCAAATTCTGTAATGATAAATGATGCCTTGAAAAAAAAACTTAAAAAGCTTCACAGTATTTGAGTGGGGAAGTCTGCCCAGTGCAGCACCACCAACTGCTGTGGTGAGATTCGCCTGATTGTAAAGCAAAATCTCTCAAGTACTCATGTTCCCTGGAGAAAAGCCATTCATGTTCCCAGGGTTTACCTGCTTTCTAAGAGCAATTATGGAAACGATTTGTAGCTCAATGGTGCCCATAATTGATCACAGAACCTTTCCTCTTTCCCAAAACAGCCACCATTAAAATCCAATGAAACACACATTGGAAGAGGGTGCTGAAGTTGGAGGCTCTGGGGAGTCCTCAGCACACCCCTGCATGAGGGCTGCCCAAAAAGACAGCTCTAAAGGCTCTGTCTACCCAAGACACTAGGGCACGAAAAGCAGTTAGCCTTGTCGGCTCCCCAAGACCCACGTGTGCTTCAGAGGCATTGGGCAGAAGATTCTTTGTAAGAAAGTTTCCTTGTCCACTAGCAGACAGGAGTGTGTGTGTGTTTGTTTTTGTATGTGTGTTGAAATTAGAACCCCACCTTATGTGTTCATTATGGAATTTGAAAATGGAAGCCTAAAGTTTAAAAATAAAATCACCCATGAAAGCATCTTGTAAACTATTTTCTGTGCTGATGGAGGTATAGGGCCCTGGTAACATCCTACTTCCCTCTCCCTGAAAGAGCTACACACACTGCTCAAGGCCTGCTTCCACTTGAACCATGTCCAAGACCAGCTCAAGAGCTTGGTCCCATCTGCTGCCTTCAGCAGGACTGACTAAAGCTGCTTCTTCTTTCTGAGCATCTTCTCCAATTACCTGACACTTGGGGGAGACATTGGGGCCAGAATTGAAAAAGAAGGAAAGGGAGCATGGAGGCCAGAGGCTGAGGACCAGGTTTTCCCACCTGGAGGGGTCTGGCCTGGAGGCACTCAAACTAGGGTCAAATTTAGGTGGAGATATCTGGCCCTGGTTGGCCCTGTGCTGACCATCAGCCTCGAGTCCCTCAAACAGTGGGAAGTGAAAGAATGGCTTGGAGATGAGCCTCTTTCACTGTGTGCCACCTGAATACATCTTGCCAGGGACCCAGGAGGGGCCATTGTATCTCCAGAGCCATGACTGGAAGGTGGAACTCCCAAAGAGAGCAAGGAAAAGTGTCCTCGGTGAGGTGGAGAGCTTATTTCTACTTGGCCATTCCTGAAGCACTTTCAGTGCCTAAAAGTGCCTAGCATGAGCAACTGGAACCCACTTCCTGGTAACTGCAAGATGCAAGGGGACCTCATGTACCTCTTTGCAATTACAGACAAAGACCAGAAGGGCAGCATCACTGCATCCACGTGGGGCTCTTACTGGATCCAGTGAGTCTCTGCTGGCTCCCTACAAGCTCCTGGGATGCCACTTGTCCTGGGTTTGTGGAAAGACAACCAGGGCATTTGCTCAGTGCCCACTTCCTCCTTGTAGGTCTACAGCCTATCACTCAACCCCAAGCCCACCAGCCCCTGCTTCCTAAGCCATTCCCCACTGGAGCTGCTCAAGTACAGCAGACTGAATGTCACAAAACACTTTGTCATGCCATGAAAGAAAAGGTAAGGTTGCCAGGTGAGGTGGCTCATGCCTGTAATCCCAACACTTTGGAAGGCCAAGGCAGGTGGATCAAGAGGTCAGGAGTTCAAGACCAGCCTGGCCAATATGGTGAAACTCCATCTCTACTAAAAATGAAAAAATTAGCTGGGCATGGTGATGCATGCGTGTAGTCCCAGCTGCTCGGGAAGCTGAGGCAGGAGAATCCCTTGAACCTGGGAGGTGGAGGTTGCAGTGAGCCGAGATCACGTTGCTTCACTCCAGTCTGGGTGACAGAGTGAGACTTCATCTCAAAAAAAAAAAAAAAAAGAAAGAAAGAAAATGTAATGTCATTGTTTCATCTGTCCCTGACTTGTGTCATGTCACAGGGGCTTATGAGATGAACCAGCCAGCTGAAACTCCAGAGCTTCTGCCCAATCTGTCCCCATTGCGTGAGTCCCCTCTAGGGAGCTGTCAGTGTGACAGGGGGCATCCCTGGGAGTGGTGCCCATTTGCTTCTATCTGACCTCAGGGTAGCTTCTTAGGGCGAGAAGATCCTAGAGCAGATGGGAGTCTCAGAGAAGAAGCCTATGGCAGGGTTCTGGGCTTGATGGGCTGTGTATCTCCCTCTTCCCTGCCTTCCACAAGGTCCAGCACCACCCATTCTCCCAGGTCACCACTCCATTCCAGGTGTGCAGCTGGACAGCTTCCCAGGCAGAGGCTGTCATGGACTCCATGCACACAGAGAATGCCTAAACCTTGAGGCTGGACTATGAGGAGAACATTCCTGAACAGGTGCATGCAGCCTGGTCCTGCCCTCAGTGGGAACCCCCTTCCTCTTGGGTACTAGACAGAATGCTGTGCACTTTCCTGGAGGCTCCTTGCTGGTCTGTTCATTTGGAAGTTTGAGGCTGTCCATAGGGAGGTAACAAAAGAGACTTCTCCTCCGTCTGAAAAAAAAAGACTTCTCAGAGCATGTTGTGGGGCACAGGCTGAGCCCTTGCCTCTCTCCCTGGTCCCTCTGCAGACTGAGGACTGAAACAAGGAGCTGCAGACAATGAGGGAACTATTCTGCAAGAACCGGCCTTAGCGGCTGCTTCAAGAAAGAACAACAATCAAAATGCCTACAGCCTCGACTGACTGGCAGCCTCAGGCCCATCTACTATCTGCAGGCAGGTTTTCTTGCTGACAGGATGAAAGCAAGGAAAGCAGAAATGAGCCCAGCCCTCTCAGGCACCCTGAAGGCTGTCTGGGGTCCCCTGCAAGGCCTTCTAGCCTTCTGCTTCTTGGCAGACCACCCAAGCATCTTTTTCTGGCCTTTGAGACTTTGATTCTCTGGAAGGAGAAGGCCCTACTTTTCACTAGGCTAAGTGGCCAGGGCCATCCAGCTCTTCCTCTTCACTAACAACCATTGGGCTCTCACCTGGACACACACTCCCCAATCTTGGCCCTTCTAAGGCAGGAGCTCATTTGTCTTACAGTTTCAGCTTGCTAGGGCTTAAAAGTTATCAGTGCTGTTATTAAGATAGAGAAATCAGGGGGAAGAAGTTGCCTTAAAAATTTCTCCTAATCTTACCTTGGAGATCATCAGCACAGGTGACAGCACAGGCAGGGCTGCTGAGGATGCTGGGGGAGAGTGCCCAGCCTGTCCTGCCAGCTGGTCCTTGCCAGAGGTGGCTTATGACCCAGCCCCTGAGAGAAGCAGGCAGACATCTCTGCAAGGAGCTGGAGTGCGTAGATCAGGGCAGCCCAGCCACACTGATGGTGGCATGGTTCTACCTCCCATCAAGTGGTGTCACCACAGCTGACCCTTGGAGCCAGGAGGTGATTTACAACATGTGCAAGGCAGTCAGCTCCATCAACTCTATGGCCTTCAACGCTCACTTCAACTCGGACATCTCACCAGAAACAGTGGGGACTGGCCAATCTGGCCAATGCAGAAGCTCTGCAAAGTGGGACAGAGCATCATGGGGTGGGGGATCTGGGGACTGTCTGCTCATCTGAGCATTGCTTCCTGGGTGTGTGCTCTGCAGGCTTCCTTAAAGAGGATTGTGAGCTCATCAGGGAGGTCCTGAGCCTGTAGAACATGCCTGAGGCCACACCCATGGGGATTACGCCTACTTGCACCTCTTTGCTCATTCCACAACACTATGGGTGACTATGCCGAGATGGGCCTCAAGCACCCCCTGGGCTGTGTCAGCAAAGGCCTTTAGGCCTGGCCTGGAATGGAAGGATGGAAAACGAGGGGTCTGGGGTTGCATTGTCACCCTCTATGGTACCACAAAATGAGAGAGTCCAGACCTGCATGACTGGAATCCTATCAAGGGGGTTAGGAGGCTGCTCAATTCCTCTCAGGGCCCCATGTGGAGGAGCAGAGTGAGGGTAGGGAGACCCAGGGGACTCACATGTTCTGTATGGGCTGCCCCCAGCTCCACCCTTTGATAACCATCTTCTGGGAAGAGCTCAGGAACCTCCTGTGCTCTAGTGAGGCAGGGCCTCCCCTCACAGGGTATTGGGGAGGAGGCATTCTGAAACTCTGTGAGTACTAACACACTGCCTGACAAGTACTCATGGGATCTGTCATCCTCTGTGACCATCACGTGGCCTTGTAGTTTTCAGACTGCCTGGCCTGCCTGGGGCTTGGTGAGACCATTTTGGGGTCAGCCACTTTAGACTCCCACTTTCTCTGCAACCAAACAGTGACTGTTTTCATGTTCGTCTGTTTATTTATGGGTTTAAATATCCTAATATTTCATTTAGAGTAGTTTCAGGCTTGTATTTGTGTATTTGCAAAAATTTTATTAGAAGAAAGGGGGCTTAAGACAACAAAATTTTAGAAGGTCTTAATGGGGCATAGACTTTCATGTCACAACAGCTACTGTTGACCTCTTTTTGCTACCTTAGTGCAAAGTATACATAGAAAGTGCATCCAGAGGTGATGAGGCCAAGTGTCTAGAGTTGAGCTGCCTGGGCTTCTTGCTGGCCTGCAGTCAGGTGGACTCTGGCTGTGAGGTGGTGCCACCCTGGATATACATCCCCCACACCCTCTCCTGAGTAACCAACACAAGGCAGTGCTAATGAGTGGGTGAGTGATGGGCATCGGGCACCCCAATACCATCCGGGAAGATTTGAACACCACCTGGGCTGGGGCTGTAGGGGGTAGAGGCTGTGGCTGCCTTGGCTTGTTATGGTGCCACCCACAGGTGCATCTGCCCTGTGCTACTTCTCCAGCAGTCAGCTGCCCATGGTCCTGAGCCTGCCATGCCATACCTGCTACCTCATGCTGCTCATGTTTTAAGAAAACATCCCGAGATGGTGCTGCTGGATGTGAGTGCTGGCAAAAAGATAGCACCTTTGTCCTGGGAGATTAGGAGCTGACCAGATAGCTCCTGACTGCCTCCAGAACAAGTGGGGTCTGGTGCTGAAATTAACGATGCCTCCCAAAAGATATGTTTGCAATGGCTCATCAATATTTGATGCAGAGGCCTAAATGAAGACACATGAATGGAGTATGTGGACATCAGTTAGCAGCTGGGAAACAGGTGCCTCTCAGGCCTCTCATCCTCCAGCAAGTGTGGAACGTGCCCAAGCCCATGAGTGTATACACCTGGAATGTATACATCTGGCTGCTGCTTTTGCTGCCACTATCCCCAGGACCAATCTGGCTTAAAATCTGGATTTTAAGTAGAAAAGATAAGAGGCTTTTCTGTGTCCTGGAATAGGAAGCCAGAGATCTGTGTAGGGCTGGCATTGGGTGCACATTAGTTTTGTGACAGGATGGCAGCTGCAGTGGTTTTGTTAATCATGATAGGCCTGGCCTGGTTGTAGCTCTGATTGAGAGGGAGGGAGTCAGCAGTGGTGGTCATGCAGACGTCCAAGTGGCCAACCCTGGCCTGTCTGCTCTCAGGCACAGCAAGAGGCACCACCACAGGCCCTGACTTGCCTCCCTACTCCCTGCATGCCAGATGGGAATACCCAGAGGCTACAATCTGAATGTATTATTCTCCCATTTTGACCCGAGCTGCCTAATACACAGTGGGGATAGGGTGGGTGAAGGGCCTGGGGGAAAGCAGGGCTGGATCATGGAACCTGGGGGAAATTTAGAGATACAGGAGTGATTGTCACCTCTCTGTGGAGCCCAGCTCCCTACCTGGTCCTTGCCACGCAGCCCCTTCTACAGAGACCAGCTCTGGGGAGTTTGGGGATCCCTAAGGCCCCAGGCTGCTCCTTGTCACCCCCTGTCTGTGCTCCTTCCCTTTCCTGCTGGCAAAGCCCAACATGGCGGAGGAAGTTGCTGCCCTGTGAGCCTGAGGGAGCTGTGTCTGACTGGGATTTTGCAAAGCTCTACTTATGAATATGGTCTGTCCAGATACCCTGTTTCAAAGGAAGTGAGTATGAGGTAGCAAGTGTAGCAACCCCACAGTTGATCAATAACTTTTTCTTGTTTTTAAACCATCACATTTTCATTTCACATTGAAATAAAGTAAGTGAAACCTGCTACCCCAGCCTCGCCTGTGTGTTCTGTAACCCAGACTCATTTGGTTGTGAGGGCTGTTGTTAGAAATGTTATGAAAAGAACAATATGCATAAATTAGATCAAATGTAAAATTATGCTTATAATGTCACTTGAGTGGGAGGTAAGAGGGTGGAGTCACAGGCACTCAGTTGGAGTTTACCCACCTCTCGCTTACCAGGCTCATGAGTGTGGCACAGATGAACATCACCTGACACTGGTGACAGAAGAGAAAACGCCGGCATGAAGGCTAGGTGGGGGAGAGATGCCAGGCTGTGGGGCTAGGCCCTGGGCATGCTGAGCCTGTTATGTCACTGGACATCTAACTGCCCGGGCACCAGCCCTTGTCACATCAGTTGAGGTAAGAAGATTGGGCAGTACTCTTCAGAAGTCACACTGCTCTGGGAGAATGGAGGAGAATCTACAACTTCTCATCCTAGGGTAGGTTTTAGAGTGAGCTGGACACTCTTGGAGAGCTAATGAGATGGGAGGAAGGCAGTCCCCCAGGTGCACCTGATGGCCAGAACCTAGGAAGTGAGGCGGGGTGTGTGCGGGTGGCCAGTCCCTATGAGAGGAGGAGTTTAAAGCTTTTACAGCTGGTGGCTGCTGCTCAGTCATCCCTCTGCATAGCAGGCAGGTCCTCAGCCACACGTATAGCTGAATGTCTTTTGGAGTGTTTAGAGGGTGCTGTATGTCTTAGAAATTCCTTTCCCCTGGCCTTGTCCAGTGAACACGGTTCACATGGCCAACACCACTTCTTGAGATGTGGGCATCATGCTAAGCTGAGAATGGATTGGGTTTAGTTACCATTGTGCCTCCTCCTCACCTGAGAGGCCTATTTTCTTTGGTTGATTCCTTAAGTGTATTAGTGCTGTCAGTCACTTTTGGACAACTGAAATGACAAGTGGCTGTTGTTTCATTAAAAAATGAAGGCTTTGAATGTGAAACCCTCCTTTTCTCCTCTCCTTCTCTTAGATGAAAGATTTTGTTTTATAAAAAAGGGTACACAGTGGTATCCCAGCAGGTGTAGTGTGAGAACTGGCATGTGCTAGGCTATGGTTTCAGTGTGGATGGGCAATTCTTCAGGATGGAAAACCAAGTCTCACTGAGTTGCTGGAGCCATACTCGCCTTTCTCCACATCCCCCACCAAGGGCTTTCACTTTTCTCCCGTGCTTGAATTTTTTTAACATACATATTTTTAACATACATATTGTTCATATATATATGAACATATATATATATAACTATATATATGAAATATATATATATACACACAAACACACACTCGTACATACACATACAGGTCTCTGTCACCCAGGCTGCAGTGCAGTGGCTGAGTCATGGGTCACTGCAGCCTCAAACTCTCAGGCTTAAGTGATGTTTTCACCTCAGCCTCTCAAGTAGCTAGGACTACAGGCAAGCAATGCTATGCCCAGACAATTTTTAAATCTTTTTCTAGAGACTGAGCCTACTTATGTTGCCCAGACTGGTCTTGAACTTCTGGGATCAAGCGATCATTCCACTTTGGCCTCCCAAAGTGTTTAGATTACAGATGGGAGCTACCAAACTCAGCCAAAAATATTTTTTAAAGAACTGTTATAAGCAAATTATGAGTTATGATTGCACCACTGCCCTCCAGCCTGGGCACCAGAGCAAGACCTTGTATCCAAAAACAAAGCAAAATGAAACGAAAAGAAACTTACAACCAAATTAAACTTCAAAGATTGTGTCATCTGTGTCCAGCCCTGCCCTCCAAGCCATCACAGTTAAATATAATGGTTATTGAGAAAACAGTTAGATATTGTTAAGAAATTTTTATATATCCTCCAGCTGAAAATGAGGTATTCAAATGTGGCCCAAATATTTTCTCACCGCTACCTTCAGAATCTGAACTAGCAAATCAAATCAAGACACCTGCAGAGGACAGTTGGCTGTTTTCAAATAGAAAGAGAATTACCCCCGTTAATAAGAGTAATACAGTGATTTTCAAAAAGAAAAGTCAGACTGAGATGCAGCACAGTCAGGGCAAAACTACCCTGGAAAAACCTCTTCACACAGAATGGTTGAGGAGACTTTCTTAGATGAGCAAATTTGGGCAACATAATTCTCGCTTATTTATTCCCAAACCAACTTCCCACCTGATTCCTAATGGCCACCCCACGATATGGTCAGCAATGGGGTGCAGCATCATGAGAGAGGAGCTCAAGGATGGGATAAGGGTCTTTCCTGCATGATTAAAATGCTTAAAAAGTTGTGGAAAAGGTGTCCAAATTGTTCTACTTCCTACCTTTAAATAGGTGCTAAGATGCATTATAAAACAGACTCAGGTAAGGGAAAGAACAAGTGCATTTCAAGTCTAAGTTCGCTTCTTAATTAGCTGTGATACTCTGGGCATGTGATCCCACTATTTGAGCCCATTTGCCTGTTCACCCAAGACAAACCTAAGCAAAAATAACAAGGCTTGTGGCATCATGCTACCCGACTTCAAACTATATTAAAAGGTTATAGCAACCAAAACACATGGTACTGGTACCACAACAGAGATATAGACCAATGAAACAGAACAGACACCTCAGAAATAACACTACACATCTACAACCATCTGATCTTCAATAAACCTGACCAAAACAAGCAATGGGGAAAAAAATCCCTGTTTAACAATGGTGCTGAAAAAACTGGCTAGCTTTATGCAGAAAACAGAAACTGGAGACCTTCCTTACATCTTATACAAATATTAACTCAAGATGGATTAAAGTTTTTTTGTTTGGTGGAGCCAAGATGGCCAAATAGGAACAGCTCCAGTCTACAGCTCCCAGCATGAGTGATGCAAAAGACGGGTGATTTCTTCATTTCCAACTGAGGTACCAGGTTCATCTCACTGGGGAGTGTCAGACAGTGGGTACAGGACAGTGGGTGCAGAGCACCAAGCATGAGCCAAAGCAGGGCAAGGCATCACCTCACCCGGGAAGCACAAGGGGTCAGGGAATTCCCTTTCCTAGTCAAAGAAAGGGGTGACATATGGCACCTGGAAAATCGGGTCACTCCCACCCTAATACTGTGCTTTTCCAATGGTCTTAGCAAATGGCACACGAGGAGATTATATCCCGTGCCTAGCACGGAAGGTCCTATGCCCACGGAGCCTCTCTCCTCGCTAGCACAGCAATCTGAGATCAAACTGCAAGGTGGCAGTGAGGCTAGGGAGGGGCACCCGCCATTGCCGAGGCTTGAGTAGGTAAACAAAGCGGCCAGGAAGCTTGAACTGGGTGGAGCCCACTGCAGCTCAAGAAGGCCTGACTGCCTCTGTAGACTCTACCTCTGGGGGCAGGGCATAGCCAAACAAAAGGCAGCAGAAACCTCTGCAGACTTAAATGTACCTGTCTGACAGCTTTGAAGAGAGTAGTGGTTCTTCCAGCACACAGCTTGAGATCTGAGAATGGACACAATGCCCCCTCAAGTGGGTCCCTGACCCCCAAGTAGCCTAACAGGGAGGCAATCCACAGTAGGGGCAGACTGACACTTCACACGGCCGGGTACTCCTCTGAAACAAAACTTCCAGAGGAACAATCAGGCAGCAACATTTGCTGCTCACCAATATCCACTGTTCTGCAGCCTCTGCTGCTGACTCCCAGGCAAACAGGGTCTGCAGTGGACCTCCAGCAAACTCCAACAGACCTGCAGCTGAGGGTCCTGACTGTTAGAAGGAAAACTAACAAAAAGAAAGGACATCCACACAAAAACCCCCTCTGTACGTCACCATCGTCAAAGAACAAAGGCAGATAAAACCACAAAGATGGGGAAAAAACAGAGCAGAAAAACTGGAAACTCTAAAAATCTGAGCACCTCTCCTCCTCCAAAGGAACACAGCTCCTCACCAGCAATGGAACAAAGCTGGTTGGAGAATGACTTTGACGAGTTGAGAGAAGAAGGCTTCAGACGATCAAACTACTGTGAGCTAAAGGAGGAAGTTCGAACCCATGGCAAAGAAGTTAAAAACCTTGAAAAAAAATCAGATGAATGGCTAACTAGAATAACCAAAGCAGAGAAGTCCTTAAAGGGCCTGATGGAGCTGAAAACCATGGCACAAGAACTACATGATGAATGCACAAGCCTCAGTAGCCAATTCAATCAACTGGAAGAAAGGGTATCAGTGATGGAAGATGAAATGAATGAAATGAAGTGAGAAGAGAAGTTTAGAGGAAAAAGAATAAAAGGAAATGAACAAAGCATCCAAGAAATATGGGACTATGTGAAAAGACCAAATCTACATCTGATTGGTGTACCTGAAAATGACAGGGAGAATGGAACCAAGTTGGAAAACACTCTGCAGGATATTATCCAGAACTTCCCCAATCTACCAAGGCAGGGCAACTTTCAAATTCAGGAAATACAGAGAATGCCACAAAGATACGCCACAAGAAGAGCAACTCCAAGACACATAATTGTCAGATTCTCCAAAGTTGAAATGAAGGAAAAAATGTTAAGGGCAGCCAGAGAGAAAGGTCGGGTTACCCACAAAGGGAAGCCCATTAGATTAACAGCAGATCCCTCGGCAGAAACTCTACAAGCCAGAAGAGAGTGAGGACCAATAGTCAACATTCTTAAAGAAAATAATTTTCAACCTAGAATTTCATATCCAGCCAAACTAAGCTTCATAAGTGAAGGAGAAATAAAATACTTTACAGACAAGCAAATGCTGAGAGCTTTTGTCACCACCGGGCCTGCCCTAAAAGAGCTCCTGAAGGAAGCAATAAACATGGAAAGAAACAACTGGTACCAGCCACTGCAAAAACATGCCAAATTGTAAAGACGATCAAGGCTAGGAAGAAACTGCACCAACTAAAGGGCAAAATAACCAGCTAACATCATAATGACAGGATAAAATTCACACATAACAATATTAACCTTGAATGTAAAAGGGCTAAATGCTCCAATTAAAAGACACAGACTAGCAAATTTGATAAAGAGTCAAGACCCATCAGTGTGCTGTATTCAGGAAACCCAGCTCACATGCAGAGACACACATAGGCTCAAAATAAAGGGATGGAGGAAGGTCTACCAAGCAAATGGAAAACAGAAAAAGGCAGGGGTTGCAATCCTAGTCTCTGATAAAACAGACTTTAAACCAACAAAGCTCAAAAGAGACACAGAAGGCCATTACATAATGATAAATGGATCAATTCAACAAGAAGAGCTAACTATCCTAAATATATATGCACCCAACACAGGAGCACCCAGATTCATAAAGCAAGTCCTGAGTGACCTACAAAGAGACTTAGACTCCCACACATTAATAATGGGAGACTTTAACACCCCACTGTCAACATTAGAAAGATCAATGAGACAGAAAGTCAACAAGGATACCCAGGAATTGAACTCAGCTCTGCACCAAGTGGACCTAATAGACATCTACAGAACTCTCCACCCCAAATCAACAGAATATACATTTTTTTCAGCACCACACCACACCTAATCCAAAATTGACCACATACTTGGAAGTAAAGCTCTCCTCAGCAAATGTAAAAGAACAGAAATTATAACAAACTAACTCTCAGACCACAGTGCAATCAAACTAGAACTCAGGATTAAGAATCGCACTCAAAACCTCTCAACTACATGGAAACTGAACAACCTGCTCCTGAATTACTACTGGGTGCATAACAAAATCAAGGCAGAAATAAAGATGTTCTCTGAAACCAATGAGAACAAAGACACAACATACTAGAATCTCTGGGATGCATTCAAAGCAGTGTGTAGAGGGAAATTTATAGCACTAAATGCCCACAAGAGAAAGCAGGAAAGATCTAAAATTGACACCCTAACATCACAATTAAAAGAACTAGAGAAGCAAGAGCAAACACATTCAAAAGCTAGCAGAAGGCAAGAAATAATGAAGATCAGAGCAGAACTGAAGGAAATAGAGGCACAAAATACCCTTCAAAAAATCAATGAATCCAGCAGCTGATTTTTTGAAAAGATCAACAAAATTGATAGGCCGCTAGCAAGATTAATAAAGAAGAAAAGAGAGAAGAATCAAATAGACGCAATAAAAAATGGTAAAGGGGATATCACCACTGATCCCACAGAAATACAAACTACCATCAGAGAATACTATAAACACCTCTACACAAATAAAGTAAAAAATCCAGTAGAAATGGATAAAGTCCTTGACACATACACCCTCCCAAGACTAAACCAGGAAGAAGTTGAATCTCTGAATAGACCAATAATGGCTCTGAAATTGAAGCAATAATTAATAGCTTACCAACCAAAGAAAGTCCAGGACCAGATTGATTCACAGCTGAATTCTACCAGAGGTACAAGGGGGAGCTGATACCATTCCCTCTGAAACTATTCCAATCAGTAGAAAAAGAGGGAATCCTCCCTAACTATTTTATGAGGTCAGCATCATCCTGATACCAAAGCCTGGCAGAGACACAACAGAAAAAGACAATTTTAGACCAATATCCTTGATGAACATTGATGCAAAATCCTCAATAAAATACAGGCAAACTGAATCCAGCAGCATATCAAAAAGCTTATCAACCATGATCAAGTGGGCTTCATCCCTGGGATGCAAGGCTGGTTCAACATAGGCAAATCAGTAAACGTAATCCAGCATATAAACAGAACCAACGAGAAAAACCACATGATTATCTCAATAGATGCAGAAAAGTCCTTTGACAAATTTCAACAGCACTTCATGCTAAAAACTCTCAATAAATTAGGTATTGATGGGATGTATTTCAAAATAATAAGAGCTATCTATGACAAACCCACAGCCAATATCATACTGAATGGGCAAAAACTGGAAGCATTCCCTTTGAAAACTGGCACAAGACAGGGATGCCCTCTCTCACCACTCTTATTCAACATAGTGTTGGAAGTTCTGGCCGGGGCAATCAGGCAGGAGAAGGAAATAAAGGGTATTCAATAAGGAAAAGAGGAAATCAAATTGTCCCTGTTTGCAGATGACATGATTATACATCTAGAAAACCCCATCGTCACAGCCCAAAATCTCCTTAAGCTGATAGGCAACTTCAGCAAAGTCTCAGGATACACAATCAATGTGCAAAAATCACAAGCATTCTTAAACACCAATAACAGACAAATAGAGAGCCAAATCATGCATGAACTCCCATTCACAATTGCCTCAAAGAGAATAAAATACCTAGGAATCCAACTTACAAGGGATGTGAAGGACCTCTTCAAGGAGAACCACAAACCACTGCTCAAGGAAATAAAAGAGGATACAAACAAATGGAAGTACATTCCATGCTTGTGGGTAGGAAAAATCAATATCGTGAAAATGGCCATACTGCCCAAGGTAATTTATAGATTTAATGCCATCCCCATCAAGCTACCAATGACTTTCTTCACAGAATTGGAAAAAACTACTTTAAAGTTCATATGGAACCAAAAAAGAACCAACATTGCCAAGTCAATCCTAAACCAAAAGAACAAAGCTGGAGGCATCATGCTACCTGACTTCAAACTATACTACAAGGCTACAGTCACCAAAACAGCATGGTACTGGTACCAAAACAGAGATATAGACCAATGGAACACAACAGAGCCCTCAGAAATAATGCTGCATATCTACAACTATCTGATCTTTGACAAACCTGACAAAAACAAGCAATGGGGAAAGGATTCCCTATTTAATAAATGGTGCTGGGAAAACTGGCTAGCCATATGTAGAAAGCTGAAACTGGATCACTTCCTTACACTTTATACAAAAATTAATTCAAGATGGATTAAAGACTTAAATGTTAGACCTGAAACCATAAAAACCCTAGAAGAAAACCTAGGCAATATCATTCAGGACATAGGCATGGGCAAGGACTTCATGTCTAAAACACCAAAAGCAATGGCAACAAAAGCCAAACTTGACAAATGGGATCTAATTAAACTAAAGAGCTTCTGCACAGCAAAAGAAACTACCATCAGAGTGAACAGGCAACCTACAGAATGGGAGAAAATTTTTGCAATCTACTCATCTGACAAAGGGCTAATATCCAGAATCTACAATCAACTCCAACAAATTTACAAGAAAAAAACAAACAACCCCATCAAAAATTGGGCAAAGGATATGAACAGACACTTCTCAAAAGAAGACATTTATGCAGCCAAAAGACACATGAAAAAATGCTCATCATCACTGGCCATCAGAGAAATGCAAATCAAAACCACAATGAGATATCATCTCACATCAATTAGAATGGCGATCATTAAAAAGTCAGGAAACAGGTGCTGGAGAGGATGTGGAGAAATAGGAACACTTTTACACTGTTGGTGGGACTGTAAACTGGTTCAACCATTGTGGAAGTCAGTGTGGCGATTCCTCAGGGATCTAGAACTGGAGATACCATTTGACCCAGCCATCCCATTACTGGGTATATACCCAAAGGATTATAAATCATGCTGCTATAAAGACACATGCAAACGTATGTTTATTGCAGCACTATTCACAATAGCAAAGACTTGGAACCAACCCAAATGTCCATCAATGATAGACTGGATTAAGAAAATGTGGCACATATACACCATGGAATACTATGCAGCCATAAAAAATGATGAGTTCATGTCCTTTGTAGGAACATGGATGAAGCTGGAAGCCATCATTCTCAGCAAACTATCGCAAAGATGAAAAACCAAACACTGCATGTTCTCATTCATAGGTGGGAATTGAACAATGAGAACACATGGACACAGGAAGGGGATCATCACACACCAGGGCCTGTTGTGGGGTCAGGGGAGGGGGGAAGGATAGCATTAGGAGATATACCTAATGTTAAATGACGAATTAATGGGTGCAGCACACCAACATGGCACATGTATACATATGTAACTAACCTGCACATTGTGCACATGTACCCTAAAACTTAAAGAATTAAAAAAAAAAAAGACAAAAAACAAAAAAAAAAGTTTTTTTGTTTTGTGATTTTTTTTTTTTTTTTAAGATGGAATCTCACTCTGTTGCCCAGGCTGGAGTACAGTGGAGTGATCTCTGCTCACTGCAACCTCCGTTTTCAAATAGAAAGAGAAATACCTTTCTAGCAATTCTCCTGACTCAGCCTCCTAAGTAGCTGAGATTACAGGCACCCACCACTACGCCCAGCTAATTTTTTTGTATTTTTAGTAGTGATGGGGTTTCACCATGTTGGCCAGGCTGATCTCGAACTCCTGGCCTTGTGATTTGCTTGCCTCAGCCTCCCAAAGTGCCTGGATTACAGGCATGAGCCACTGTCCCTGGCTGTATTAAGGTCTTACATGTAAAACCCCAAAACATAAAAACCCTAGAAGAAAACCTAGGCAATACCATTCAGGACAGAAGCATGGGCAAAGACTTCATGACTAAAACACCGAAAGCAGTTGCAAAGAAAGCAAAATTGACAAATGAGATCTAGTTAAACTAAAGAGCTTCTGCACAGCAAAAGAAGCTATCATCTGAGTGAACAGACAACCTACTGAATGGGAGAAAATTTTTGCAATCTATCCATCTGACGAAGGTCTTATATCCAAACATAAACAAATTCACAAGAAAAAAAAAAAACAAACAAACACCATCAGAAAGTGGACAAGGGATATGAACAGACTTTTCTGAAAAGAAGACATTTGGCTGGGCGAGGTGGCTCAGGCCTGTAATCCCAGCATTTTGGGAGGTCGAGGCAGGAGGATCATGAGACCAGCCTGGCCAACATAGTGAAACCTCTTCTCTACTAGAAATACAAAAAACTAGCTGGGCCTTTTGGTGTGCCCCTGTAATCCCAGCTTCTTGGGAGGCTGAGGCAGGAGAAACACTTGAAACTGGGAAGTGGATATTGCAGTGAGCCGAGATCCTGCCACTACACTGCACCCTGGCTAACAGAGCAAGACTTAGTCTCAAAAATTAAAATAAATAAATAAATAAATAAGACATTTATGCGACCAAAAAACATAAACCTCATTATCACTGGTCGTTAGAGAAATGCAAATCAAAACCACAATGAGATACCATCTCATGCCAGTTAGAATGGCAATTATTAAAAAGTCAGGAACCAACAGATGCTGGTGAAGCTGTGGAGAAATAGATATGCTTTTACACTGTTGGTGGGAGGGTAAATTAGTTCAACCATTGTGGAAGACAGTGTGACAATTTCTCAAGGATCTAGAACCAGAAATATCATTTGACCCAGCAATCCCATTACTGGGTATATACTCAAAGCATTATAAATCATTCTACTATAAAGACACATGCACACGTATGTTTATTGCAGCCCTGTTTACAATAGCAAAGAATTGGAACCAACCCTAATGCCCATCAGTGATAGACTGGAGAAAGAAAATGAGGCACATATACACCATAGAATATTATGCAGCCATAAAAAAGGATGAGTTCATGTCTTTTGCAGGGACTTGAATGAAGCTGGAAACCATCATCCTCAGCAAACTAACACAGGAACAGGAAAACAAACACCACATGTTCTCATTCATAAAAGGAAGTTGAACAATGAGAACACATAGACACAAGGAGGGAAACATCACACACTGGGGCCTGTCAGAGAATGGGGGTCAAGGAGAGAGAGAGCGTTAGGAGAAATAACTAATGCATGTGAGGCTTAAAACCTAGATGGCGGGTTGATAGGCGCAGCAGCCGGGCAGGGCGGCTCACGCCTGTAATCCCAGCACTTTAGGATGTGGAGGCGGGCGGATCACCTGAAGTCGGGAGTTCAAGATAGGTGCCGCAAACCCCCATGGCACATGTAAACCTATGGAACAAACCTGCACGTTCTGCACATGTATCCCAGAACTTAAAGTTTTTTTTTAAAAAAGGGCACTAAGGCTGAGGGGGAGTGGCGGTGGGGGGGGAGTGGGTGGGCCCTGGAGCTTTATGCAATCGGTGGCGGTGGCGTGGGAACAGCCCAATCAGGCACGCAGTTGGAGAGGAAGGAAGGGCGTGGCTTCCAGTGTTTGGCGGGAACTTTTTCTCTCCCTGGCGCCAGAACTTGGGATCCATCTCTACTCTTCCACCTTCTCCATGTTGGGAGCTCCATGGGGCCTTCCTCACAATCTCTTTTGCCCTGTAATCTGAAGGTACTTGGGGACGCATAGCTAAGATACCAGAACATCCTGGAAGCTGGGAAATGGTGAGTAAGGGGGTTCGGCACCCCGAGAGAAGAGAGCAGGCTGTGAAACCAGCAGGACCGGCCTCCCCACAGTCATCTCCAAGTCTCTGGCGCAGCTTGGCCCTCAGTCCCCTGTGCCTGCAAGATGGTGGCTGGGCCAGCAGCAGGGACCCCCGTGTCCGGCCTCATGCCCTCCGGTCCCGTCCCTGCGTGGCGTCCTGCTGTGCGCCCACAGTGCGAGTATTCCCCAGATTGTTCGGGGATGCCAGGTGGGTCATCAGGGCAGAACCCCCACTCGGTGTGTGCGTCGGAGGAGCTGCAGCCCGGGGCGTCCCCAGTCTCTCTTGTTAAAAATAAAAGGGGATTCCATGTTAAAACGTTAACCACTTTATTTGAGCAAACAGTGATTGGTGAAATGGAAAGCACCCAGCCATGATTTGTGGTCCACCCGAGGGGCATGAAGGAAAGGCTTTTACAAGGTGCATAAGAAAGCAACCCAATTTCAAGAAATGGTTAGAGTTGG
This sequence comes from Homo sapiens, assembly GCF_000001405.40. Taxonomy (NCBI): domain Eukaryota; kingdom Metazoa; phylum Chordata; class Mammalia; order Primates; family Hominidae; genus Homo; species Homo sapiens. The sequence continues at coordinate 38,100,198 of NC_000012.12, forward strand.
CAGGGCACGGTGGCTCACACCTGTAATCCCAGCACTTTGGGAGGCCGAGGTGGCCAGACCACCTGAGATCGGGAGTTCAGACCAGCCTGACCAACATGGTGAAACCCTGTCTCTACTAAAAATACAAAATTAGCCGGGCGTGGTGGCGCATGCCTGTAATCCCAGCTACTCGGGAGGCTGAGGCAGGAGAATCAGTTGAACCTGGAGGGTGGAGATTGCGGTGAGCCGAGATCACGCCATTGGACTCCAGCCTGGGCAACAAGAGTGAAACTCTGTCTCAAAAAAAAAATAAAAAATGGGCTAAAATACATGAACTAAATGATTTCCAATAGCTCCTGCAGCTTTGCCAAGTCCATGTTAAAAAAATTACATGAATGGGAACTGACGCGGTGGCTCACTCCTGTAATCCCAGCACTTTGGGAAGCTGAGGCGGGCGGATCAAGAGGTCAGAAGATCGAGACCATCCTGGCTAACACGATGAAACCAAAATACAAAAAATACCAAAAATACAAAAAATTAGCCATGCATGGTGGCAGGCGCTTGCAGCCCCAGCTACTCCGGAGGTTGAGGCAGGAGAATAGAGTCAACACAGGAAGTGGAGATTGCAGTGAGCCAAGATTGGGCCACTGCACTCCAGCCTGGGCAACAGAGTGAGACTCCATCTCAAAAAAAAAAAAAAAAACTACATGTATGGATTTTTTTCCTGACTCTTAATTTTATTCCATTAATGTGTATGTATTGACCCCCTGTTCTACAACTTTGCAGAATTTGATTATTAATGTTAACAGCTTCATTATTACTGAGGATTTTAATTATATATATAAAATTATAACATCTATATGTAGAAATAAGCTTATTTCTTTTCCAATTGGAGTGTTTCTTTTCTTGTATTGCTCAATTATTCTGACCTGATTTGTATTACAATTTTGATCAGAAGTGATAAACACAACTATCTTTGTCTTGTTCCTGATCTTAAGGAGAAAGTTTTTAGTCTTTCACCATTGCATGTAGCGGTAGTTTTGAGTTTCTTATATGTACCTTTTTTATGTTCAGGAAGTTTTAGTCTATATCTAGTTTACTAGGTGCTCTTATAAAAGTGTTTTGGATTATTTCAAATTTTTTCTCTATCACTTGAGGTGATCACGTTTTTTTCTAAAATTCATTCTATTGAGTTGGTATATTGCATTGACTAATTGCAATTGTTAGAGTGAGAAAAATTGGAGTTACAACTTTTAATGTTTAAAACAATTCATCAGTGAAGCCATCTGATTCTGGACTTTTCTTGTTAGTATATTTTTGATAACGTATGCAGTCTTTTGCTAGTTACAGGTTGTATTAGACTTATTCAGAGAAATAGAAGCAATAGAATAAATATCTACATCTATGTCTCTGTGTGTGTGTATTCATATATATGTGTGTGTGTGTGTGTGTGTGTGTGTGTGTGAGAGTGTGTGTGTTAATATATGGGACAGAGCCCTTTAGAGTTGTCATGGCTCTGTCTGCTCAGGGGGACTTTCTCAGCCATTTCTGGGCTGGTTTGGAGAACCCTCTGTTCTTCCACTCACCTCATTTCAATGCTGGCCCTTGTTGGCAACAGCAAGCTTCTGCCCCACACCAAAGGAAACAGAGTGTTACCCCATTAATACGTTTTTGCCAATCTCCTGTGTGGAGCTCTGCAAAGATAGTAACTGGCAGCCAGATATGGAAGCCTCAGAGCTATTTCTGGCCATCACTGCTGCTCCTTATACACCATGCAACTTTCTGCTCGCCAGGTGAGGCATAGAATTATGTCTATACAGACCTTCAGCCTTGGAAGTCACTAGATAACAGCTCAAGGGCTCAGAACAATCAGTTGAGGTAGATGGGTACCCACAGCAGCACTTGCCTTCCGACTTTGCCAGCCATGATCTGGTGTGTAAACATAATGAGCCACTAGTATTCTAACATCCCAACAATCTGCTCCTGCTCAGAATGAGCCAGCCTCATATAGCATTCCCCTATACACAAAATTTGACATTACATATTTATCCTTTTGTATTTGGCTTATTTTACATAGTATAATGTCTTCAAGGTGCATCCATGTTGTAGCATGTATCAGCATTGCATTTTTTTTTTGAGATGGAGTCTCTCTTTTGTCACCCAGACTGGAGTGCACAGAAATGCAATCATGACTCACTGCTGCCTCAGCCTCCCCAGGCTCAAGTGATCCTTCTGACTCAGATGGACCTCCCCTGTGGCTGGGACTGTAGGCACACACCATCAAGGCCAGCAAATTTTTGTACTATTTGTAGAGATGGTATTTTGCTATGTTGCTCAGGCTGGTCTCAAATTGTCAGGCTCAAGAGATCCTCTCATCTTTGCTTCCCAACATTCTGAGATTATAAGCATGAGCCACCATACCCGGCAGCATTGCATTGATTTTAAGGCTAAATAATATTCTGTTGTGTGGTGTCTATACCACATTTTCTTTATCTCTTTATCTCTTAGAAGATATCTGGATTTGTTTTTACATTTTGTACTGTAAATGATGTTGCTATAAAAATTGGTGTGAAAGTATCAGTGCATAAGTGAATAAAATTTAAAAAGCTGAACACATCTCTGCATGCAGTTCTTAGATTGAATAACAGAGGCCAGGCATGGTGGCTCACACCTGTAATCCCAAAACTTTGGGAGGCTGAGGCGGGCAAATCACTTAAGCTCAGGAGTTCAAGACCAGCCCGGGCAACATGGTGAAACCCCCTTTCTACTAAAAATATAAAAATTAGCTGGGCATGGTGATACATCCTTGTAGTCCCAGCTATTCGGGAGACTGAGGGACGAGAATCGCTTAAGACCCAGAGGCCCAGGTTGCAGCTTAAGTCCTTGCGTTTAATTATTTTGGATACACCTTTAGTTGAGACATATGGAAGTGTTCCACCTGCTGCTGAAACATATGGTAATTATATATAGAACTTTCTGATAAACTGCCAAACTATTGGTCACAGTCTATAAACCATTTTATATTCTCACCAGCCATGCACCAGGGTTCCACTTCCCCTACATACTAGCCAGTACTTTTTCATTTTTGTTGTTTTGGTTTTTATATAGCCACCTTAATAGATGTAATGTGGTATCTTATTATGGTTTTGATGTGCATGTCATGACTGGTGATGCTGAGCATTTTTCTGTAGACTTATTGACTCAATATAGATTCAAGTCCTCTTCCTTTTTATAAATGCTGTTGTTGTTTTGTTTTGTTATTGAGTCTTAGAAGTTCTTTATATATTCTTCTTATTATATTATACCTTATGTACCTAGTCAGATACATGATTTTCAAATCTTTTCTCCCATTTGCTGGTTGTCTTTTCACTCTGTTGTTCATGCTTTTTGTACAAATTTTAGTAGAAGTGGGAGTTCTTTTTTTTGGTAGCAAAAAACACGAACAACAGAGTGTTTTTCTTATCAAAAAAATCAGAAAAGTTTCACATTTTAATCAAGTCCAATTTATATGTTTTTTATTTTGTGTCCTATGCTTTTGGTGTAACAGTCAAGAAACAATCACCAAATTTAATGTTATAAGATTTTTGCATATGCTTTTTCCTAAGAGTTTTTAAAGTTTAACTTTCTAGAACTTTTACAGCAGGTTTGGGGGTACATGTGAAGATTCGTTACATAGTAAACATATATCACAGGGGTTCACTGTACAGATGATTTTATCATCCAGGTATTAGGCCCAGTACCCAATAGCTATCTTTTCTCCTTCTTTCCCTCCTCCCACCCTCTAACTTCAAATGGACCCCAGTGTCTGCTGTCTTCCTCTTTGAGTTCCTAAGTTCTTATTTAGTTCCCACTTACAACTGAGAACATGTGATATTTGGTTTTCTGTTCCTGTGTTAGTTTGCTAAGGATAATAGCCTCCAGCTACATTCCATGTTGCCACAAGAGACATAATCTCTTTATTTTATGGCTGCTAGTGTTCCATAATGTATATGTGACAGATTTTCTTAATCTAACCTGTTACTGATAGTATTTAGGTTGATACTCCATACTGATAGTATTTAAGTTGATAGTATTTTGGTTGATAGTATTAGGTTGATTCCATGTCTTCGCTATTGTGAATAGGGCTGCAATGAACATTTTCATGTATGTGTCTTTATGGTAGAATAATTTCTATGTCTCTGGGAATATACGCAGTAATGGGATTGCAAGCAGAACTATTGAATGGTAGTTCTGCTGTTAGCTCTTTGAGGAATTGCCAAACTGCTTTCCATAATGGTTGAACTAATTTACACTCCTACCAACAGTGTATAAGTTCCCTTTTCTCTACAACCTCACCAGCATTTATTGTTTGACTCTTTAACTATAGCCATTCTGACTAGTGTGAGATGGCATCTCATTGTGGTTTCTTTCTTTTTTTTTCTTTTTTGAGATGGAATCTCACTCTGTCACCAGGCTGGAGTGCAGTGGCACGATCTCAGCTCACTGCAACCTCCGTTTCCTAGGTTCAAGTGATTCTCTTGCCTCAGCCTCCTAAGCAGCTGGGACTACAGGTGCATGCCACCACACCCAGCTAATTTTTGTATTTTTAGTAGAGACAGGACTTCACCATGTTGGCCAAGATGATCTCGATCTCTTGACCTCGTGTTCTGCCTGCCTCAGCCTTCCAAAGTGCTGGGATTACAGTCGTGAGCCACCACACCTGGCCATCTCATTATGGTTTAAATTTTCATTTCTCTAACAATCAGTGATGCTGAGGTTTTTTGCATATACTTGTTGGCCATATGTATGTCTTCTTTTGAAAAGTGTCTGTTCATGTCCTTTGCCCACTTTTTAATGAGGTTGTTTCTTTTGTTGTAAATTTAAGTTCCTTATAGATGCTGGATACTAGATCTTTTTCAGATGCATAGTTTGCAAATGTTTCTTCCACTCACTAGGTTATCTGTTTACTATGTTGATAGCTTTATTTTCTGCTATGCAAAAGCTCTTTAGTTTAATTAGATCTTACTTGTCAATGTTTGTTTTTCTTGCTATTGCTTTTGGTGTTTTTGTCATGAAATCTTTGCACATTCCTGTCCAAGATTCTATTGTCTGGATTGTCCTCTAGGATTTTTATACAATTTGGTTTTATATTTAAGTCTTCAATCAATCTTGAGTTTATTTATTTATTTTTTTTGTATATGGTGTAAAGAAGGGGTCTGGCTTCAATTCTCCACATATGGCTAACCAGTTATCCCAGCAACATTTATTGAATAAGAAATCTTTTCCTTATTGCCTGTTTTTGTCAGCTTTGTCAATTATCACATGGTCACAGATGTGCAGCCTTATTTCTGGGTTCTCTATTCTATTCCATTTGTCTATGTGCCTGTATTTGTATCAGTATCATGCTGTTTTGGTTACTGTAGCCTTGTAGAATAGTTTGAAGTCAGGTAATGTGATACCTCCAGCTTTGCTCTTTTTGCTTAGAGTTGCCTTGTCTATTTGTGCTCTTTTTTGGTTTTATATGAATTTTAAAATAGTTTTTCTAGCTCTGTAAAGAATTTCATTGGTAATTTGATAGGAATAGCATTGAATCTGTAAATTACTTTGTCCACTATAGCCATTTTAGTCATATTGGATCTTCCTATCCATGAGCATGGGACGTTTTTCCATTTGTTTGTGTCTTCTCTGATTTCTTCAAACAGTGTTTTGTAATTCTCATTGTAGAGCTCTTTCACCTCCCTGGTTAGCTGTATTCCTAGATATTTTATTATTTTTGTGGCAATTTTGAATGAATGGCCTTTCTGATTTGGCTGTCAGTGTTGCTATCTTGGTGTAGAGAAATGCTAGTGATTTTTACACATTGATTTTGTAACTTGAAACTTTGCTGAAGTTGTTTATTGACTAAAGAAGCTTTGGAGTTGAAACTACAGGGCTTTCTAGATATAGAATTATGTTATCTGCAAACAGCGATAGTTTGACTTTCTCTCTTCCTATTTGGATGCTCTTTTTTTTCTCTCTCTCTCTCGCCTGATTGCTCTGGTCAGGACTTCCAATACTATGTTGAATAGAAATGGTGAGAGAGGGCATTCTTGCCTTGTAATGGTTTTCAAGGGAATGCTCTCAGCTTTTACCCATTCTGCGGAATGTTGGCTGTGGGTTTGTTATAGATGGCTCTTATTATTTTCTGCATCTATTGAGATAATCCTGTCTTTTTTTAAATTCTGCTTATGTGATGAATTACATTTATTGATTTGCATGTGCTGATCCAACCTGGCATCCTAAGGAGGCAGCCTACTTGATCACGATGGACTATCTTTTTGATGTGCTGCTGGATTCGTTTTGAAAATATTTTGTTGAGAACTTTTGTGTTGATGTTCATCAAGAACGTTGGCCTAAAGTTTTCTATATTTGTTGTGTCTCTGCCAGGTTTTTGTGTCAAGATAATGCTGGTCTCATAGAATGAGTTGGGGAGGAGATTCTCCTCAATTTTTTGGGATAGTTTCTGTAGGAATTGTGCCAGCTCTTCTTCGTACATTTGGTAGAATTTGGCTGTAAATTCATAAGGTCCAGGGCTCTTTTTGATTGGTAAGCTATGTATTACTGATTCAATTTCAGAGCGTGTTATTGATCTATTTAGGAAATCAATGTCATCTTCCTGGCTTAGTCTTGGGAGGGTATGTGTCTAGGAATGTATCTATCTCTTCTAAGTTTTATAGTTTGTGTGTATAAAGTTGTTCATGGTAGTACTGACCCCACATAAATAAAAGCAACCATCAGAAACCACTAAAGTTTTAACTATTATTTTTATGTCTTGAATCTATTTTTATTTTTTTTACATGGAATGTGATAAAGATTTAACCCTACTGGTTTAAATTTGGACTTGTTTTCCTAGCATCAGTTGTTGAAAAAACTGTCCTTTCCTTTACATAATTGTTTAGGCATCCTTGTCAAAAGACAATAATTTATGCAAGGGTATTTTTGGGGGGTTATCTATTTTATTAATTTGGTGTCTATCATTCTTTTTATGCCAGTATAAAACTGTTTTAATTATAGTAGCTCTGTATGTTCTGAAATTTAAAATTGTGAGCCACCTAGCTTTATTCTTTTTTTCAAGATTATTTTGGACATTCAGAGCACCTTCAAATTCCATATGAATTTTAGAATGGGCTATTCTGTTTTTGCAGAAGAAAAGTTGGAAAAAATAAAAACTTGGGATTACAGTACATCTGTACACTACTTTGGCTAATACTGCCATCTTAGCTTTATTAAGTCTTCCAGTCCATGAACATGGAATTCCTTGCCACTTATTTAAGTCTTTTTTAGTTTATTTCATAAATATTCTTATATTGTAGCTTTCAGTGTACAAGTTTTTTACCTCCTTATTAAATTTATTGCTAAGCATTATATTATTTTAATATTGTTGCAAACAATTGTTTTCTTAATTTACTCTCAAATTTATTCTTGGTATATGGAAATGCAGTTTATGTTTCTGTGTTGTAAAAATAATGATTTTATCTCTCAAATCTAGACTAGCAATTCATCAAGAATAAATATGCTGTATACATTGGTAGTCATTTAACTATTTCCAGTAAGCTAACCAATTTCAGTGTTTTCTAAATATGTTCAATTGTGTTTTATTTTAATTTCCTCTCACCTGTCATTCACCCAGCCAGAATTACATCACTTCACACATAGAACTTCCATTTCTGGGACTGGGCACAGTTCCTCATGCCAGTAATCCCAGCACTTTGGGAGGCCAAGGCGGGTGGATCGCCTGATGTCAGGAGTTTGAGACCAGGCTGGCCAATATGGTGAAACTCTGTCTTTACTAAAAATACAAAAATTAGTTCGGTGTGGTGGCAAGAGCCTTTAGTCCCAGCTATGAGGCAGGAGAATCAATTGAACCTGGAAGGCGGAGGTTGCAGTGAGCTGAGATTGCGCCATTGCACTCCAGCCTGGGAAACAGAGAAACTCCATCTAAAAAAAAAAAAAAAAAATCAAAGAACTTCCGTTTCTCTAAAGTCCTGGTAATTGTATTTATTCCTGTCTCTTACAGTCTTTAACAATCCCACAACACAAAACAACCAAAGTTAGTCTTCATGTCGAAAATCTTCAATGGATCTTTTACATCAGAGGATTGCTTAGTGCAATATTTAATGGAAAGGATGCATGCTGCTGAGATATAATTCTCCAAAGCTCTTTTAGAGTTTGTTGTTTTTTTATTTTTTACGTCACATATCTCTCCTGTTCCAGGTTATTTTTCAAAGATTTTTGTACAGAAATAGCCCGGGAAAAGGGTAGTAATTTTTCTCTTCGGGTGAATGGCAGATAAATTACTCAACCAATGTAAAAAAGACAATTTTTCTCTGTGAGGCAAATGTTGGACAAGTTTGCATGTAACTTATTTTTAAAAGATTGAGGTTTTTTAATCTTGAGGTTGCTCAGCTGTGACACAAATCTTCCCCATGTGCAATGTCCATCTGAGCCTTTTGAAATCCCTCTAAAAATGTAGTGTGCACAAGGAGAACTAATACAAATATGAAGCTTTTGCCTCTAGTTCTGCTGTCAATCATAAGTATTTTTGTCATACTTCAGTGTCTCATGCCTTCTACCAGCATCCATGAAACTGGAAGATTAATAGGTTAGTTTACAAATAGGATAAAATCTAAGATCCTTCACAATGATTTAGTTTTGGTGATGAGAGTAGGATGCTGCGATAAACACAACTTTCTGAAAGGGGGAAAGATAAAAATACTTGAAGAACTTGCAAGGGATATGAGAAGTTCCCCTAGGACCAACAGCAAATTCTCTCAGCCAAGTGATTAGTGTGGTGAAACAAGGGCTGTACACTCTGCAGTCTGCTAATGAGGCTGGTCTGTGAGATGATTAAAACCAAGAGCCTGAGTGCTTCGCATGTTCATTTTTCTCCTGCTGAAAGGATCAAGGAGTCCTTAAAGCTAATGTTGAGGCTTGGATGAGTCCAAACCACTAGAAGTTCATGTGGTTGAGCTGTGAGCAGCCAAAAGGCTGCTGAAAGCTACATTGAATGGGTCTTGTTAGTCTCTTCTTTACCCACATGAAGGTGCCCACTACCTCTGCACTCCAAAATTTTTTCCTTCATCTATAGCCAACTTCAGCAACTTTAAGTATTAAACTACGTAAGATTGGTGATTTGGAGGGGGGAGCTCGAGCTTTTATAGTCCTGTTGGATATGACAAATGTAGGATCAAGAGTGATTATAAAGTGGTAGAAAGGAAAAAGTTCTTAATCCTGGGTACTCTTGAAATGTAAGGTATCACACAGCTTAATTTAACAAGCCAAGGAGAAAAAAATCTCCCAACCACTCAAATCCTCTTTTTCATGTGAATCACTTCTGGCCCCTTGTGGCCTCATACTCCTGCCCAGGGGATAGTGCCATCCTACTTTAGCCCTTGCCTCAAACAAATATTTAACACTATGGTCTGTGTTTAAATAGAAGAAGCTGAGCAGAGAAAAGAATTTGGGCAAATTCTACACATACTTCATGATTCTCACAAATTACAATCTGTGAGTGAACATAATAACAATAAGAGTTCTGTAAATATATATTTGATTTGATTTTTGAGACAGGATCTCACTATCACCCAGGTTGAAATGCAGTGGTGTCATCTTAGCTCATTGCCACTTCCGTCTCCTGGGCTTCAGTGATCCTCCGAAGTAGCTGTGACTATGGATGCAGACCACCACACTAGCCTAATTTTTTATTTTGTGTAGAGATGGGGTTTCCGCATGCCGCCCAGGCTAGTCTTGAACTCCTGAGCACAAATGATCTCCCACCTCAGCCTCCAAAAGTGCTAGGATTACAGGAGTGAGCCACTGCACCTGGCAGAGTTCTGTAAATATATATTTAATGAGCATTATGTGGCAATAGGTGTTCTTATATTTATAGAAATAAATATTTAATTGATACTAAGTACAACACCAAGGCTCTTTTTAAAAATTCTCTGATTTCTTCTGTCAATTAGGCAAGTCAATTCAAGTTCTGTGAATTAGGCAAGTCAATTCCTTCTGCTTTGACTGATGACAAAAAGGGGCAGAGAGTATGAGTCACCAAGGCAGCGGGGAGCAGAGAAAAAAAGTTTGGACTGCAGTTCATTGATCTATTTCTCCTGTGATTGGCAGTATTCTGTCTCTCCACAAAGTTCAACAAGTTGTGATTTCTTATAGGCTGTGTCTGAAGTATCCAGAAATGTTATTAGGTTCCAGCTGAGCTATGCCTTTGAATATTTTACTATCTGTTATCTACAGAAGAAAATACATGCAGCTACTTAAGGGCACATTCTCTGCCAAGCACTGTGCTAAAGCAGGAGCTTACAGGTGTGAGTTGACTTAATCGTTAGGAAAACTCAAGGATTAAGGGAGTCATTATTCCAATTTTACACAAGAAGATAAAATGTTGTCTCATTGTGAGCAGCTGCCTAGAAAGAATAAATAAATAAGTAAAGCCACATGGCTGGTAAGAGGCAAACTGGAATCTCAAAACCAGTCATTTAATCCTATCATTTTGGCAAGCTGAGCAACCCCTTGCCAGTGGCCTAAAAAAATGCCAGGGAAAGAGAGGGTGGCAATTGTGCATTTGAGAAACAGGTAAAAACCTGGTGTTGATATTCAGAAAAAATGTATTAGATTATTGCAACACTTGACATCCATTGTTAACTTAATGCAACGCATAAAAGTGTTTACAAAAGCTGCACATGCTTTGGGGATCAACATTTGGGAGGGATTTACATAGAATATACATTTACCTTAAGAAACATGTGTTCAGCTCCTAGTAACTCCATGTCTATCAAATATATCATTATTACACAAATTAGGTGTTTCATCTAATAATGAGATGGCTAATTCTGTGTTTAATAAATGTTATATTTATTTATAAATTGATAAAATTTTAATAAATTTATAAATAAGTTCAATCATTTCAATGATCACTAAGAACTGGTTGAGTACGTCTTAGACCACATAGCACATGTGTGTGAATGAGTGTGTGTGTGAGTGTGTAATGTATAGTCTGTTTCTACATATAATGTATATTTTATCTATATATTATAATTAATATACACATAATATATAGCATATATATGAGTAATACACATACAACACATGGCTGAAAACATGTATTGTGTATATATATATAATATATACACAATATATTAAATATATTAAATTATTAATATATTAAATATATTATATATATATAGTTTTTTTTTGAAACGGAGTCTCACACTGTTGCCCGGGCTGGAGTGCAGTGGCGCGATCTCGGCTCACTGCTCCCTCTGCCTCCCAGGTTGAAGCTATTCTCCTGCCTCAGTGTCAGGAGTAGCTGGGATTACAGGCACCCCCTCACCATGCCCGGCTAACGTTTTTTTGTATTTTTAGTGGAGACGGAGTTTCACTATGTTGGCCAGTCTGGTCTCGAACTCATGACCTTGTGATCCACCTGCCTCGGCTTCCCAAAGTGCTGAGATTACAAGCATGAGCCACCATGCCCGGCCTGTATTCTATTTTTATTAGAGTTTAATTTACTGGTGCCCACAAGAAAAAAAGAAAATACGTTTTACAAGTAAAATCAAAGCACTAGTTATTAACCCCTGCATCTAGTCTTTTTTCAGAATGAGGGCTGGCATAATTAAATAACAAGTAAAATTGAGCTGGGCATGGTGGCTTGTGCCTGTCATCCCAGCACTTTGGGAGGCCGGCTGAGGTGGGCAGAATACTTAAGGCCAAGAGTTGAAGACCAGCCTGGCCAACATGGCAAAACCCCATCTCTACTAAAAATACAAAACATCAGCCGGGCATCGTGGCATGTGCCTGTATTCCCAACTACTAGGGAGGCTGTGGTGGGAGAATCACTTGAACCCGGGAGGCAGAGCTTGCAGTGAGCTGAGCTCATGCCACTGCACTCCAGCTGGGGTGATAGAGCAAGATCCTGCCTCAAAAATAAATAAATAAATAAGTAAAATTAGCATGAACATAATTTTTTTAAATATATATCTCTATTTTTTCATCAGGTTTCAATCTTTATTTAGAAACTTTTGCTTTTTTAAAGATCTGTTCCACACTCTTCTGCCAAACTCTCACTGCCAAAACCTTAGCTTTCTGAAGTTTTTTATTTTACTCTCTGACTCCTGAATAGCATCTCTGAACCAACCTAGGGCCTAAAGAAACTTGCTAAACTGAAGGGAGTAATCGAGGCCTGGCTGACTTTTTCACCTGCTGATTGTAGAGCCACAGTGCCTTGAGTGAACACAGACTGTAACCATGAAGGTGTGATGGCAGGCCTTGGGTGAGTTCAAGCACTCTGCTGGATTCAGTTCTGACCCAGTGCAGTCATAGTGGTCATGGCCACAGAGATGTTTGTGTCATTCCACTTCACTTTCATGTGTCTCAGAACACACACACATGCACACACACACACACACACAGACTCTATTTGTTTGGGAGAAAGTAAAAGAAGAAAAGAAAAGTCTCTGCTAGATAATTCAGAAAATTCTCCAAGACCCTGTTGTCTAAGACCATCACGGTAGTACCTCTGTGAGCCTGCAAGAACCACAGTGTTACTGGGCTTAAGATGTCCCCTAAAGTAGAAAGAGCTTAGATCACAACACCCAAGTCCTTTTAAATATCTCTAAAACCTTCCCAGGAACAATGGTTACAAACAAGCCCAAACAGTGTTGACTACAATAAATATCAAATCTTCAATGGCGAGACACCCACAAAGATCTATCGGCATCAGCAAATCATTAAAAGAAATATTTAATCAAATGAACTAAAAAAGGAACCAGGGACCAATCCTGGAGAAACAGAAATGTGTCATTTTTCTGAAAGAGAATTCTGAATAGGGAATTCAGCATTAGGGAAACAAATTCAAAATAACAAAAAAAGAAATTCAAAATTCTATCAGATACCTTTAACAAACAGATTAAAATAATTATATTTATTTATTTACCTCTTTATTTAGACAGAGTTTCACTCTTTTTGCCCAGGCTGGAGTGCAGTGGCGTGATCTTGGCTCACTGCAACCTCTGCCTCCCAGTTTCCAGTGATTCTTCTGCCTCATCCTCCAGACTAGCTGGGATTACAGGTGCCCTCCACACACCCTCCTAATTTTGTATTTGTAATACAGTCTCCAACTCCTGACCTCTGGTGATCCACCCATCTCGGCCTCCCAAAGTGCTGAGATTACGGGCGTGAGCCACCGTGCCTGGCCTATCATTTGCTTTTCTTTCTTCCTTTGTTTCTTTAACAAGCATGGACACTTCTATCTGGGTTTTAAAAATTGTGTACAAGAAAAATAAATTTGGGGGCTTCCAAATTACTAAACTAAAGGGAAAAGTCAAGCTGGGAACTGCTTAGGGCCATCCTGCCTCCCATTCTATTCAAAGTCACTCCTCTGCTCACAGCGATAAATGCATATTTAATTTCCTCTTTTGGAGAGGCTAATCAGAAACTCAAAAGAATGCAACCATTAGTTTCTCAATTACCTATGACCCGGAAGTGCCCTCCTCGCTTTGAGAATTCCTGCCTTTGCTTCAAGTTGTCCCGCCTTTGCAGACCGAACCAATATTAATCTTGCACAAATTGATTCATGTCTCTGGTGTTCCTAGAATGTATAAAACCAAACTGCTCTGATGACCTTAGGCACACGTCCTCAGAACCTCCTGAGGCTGTGTCATGGGTATGTGTCCTCAACCTTGGCCAAATAAACTTTCTTAATTCACTGAGATCTGTCTCAAGTTATCAGGGTTCACAATGGAGAGTGAATTGTAGCTCCACCCTAGGACTTCTCATTAACAAGAACTATCCTGAATCTCTCCAGATGCAGCGAAACCAGGTATATGTAAACTTTATGAAACTAAACGGCACTTCCTAGAAGTATATGAATGAATGTTGAGGAAAAAAACACAAACCACCCACCTTTCAAAGAAGCAATAACCCTGAATTCTGTGTCATTTTCAGAGTCAGCTTGTTTCCTGAGTCATCCCACCAAACGAAAACATTCCAGGGTGAGCTATTGTCCCTCCAGCCTTTGGCCCTGCCCCTTCGGTCCCCTGCACCCTCCCCTAAACCCTTTCAGTGATCACATTCTCTGATTCTGCAAAACCAGATGGGAGCCCTGAAGAGAGTTCTCTTTTATCTTCTTTTTTTTTTTGAGATGGAGTCTTGCTCAGTTGCCCAGGCTGGAGTGTCATGGCGTGATCTCTGCCCACTGCAACCTCTGCTTCCCGGATTCCAGCTATTCTCCTGCCTCAGCCCCACAAGTAGATGGGATTACAGACATGCGCCACCACGCCCAGCTAATTGTATTTTTAGTAGAGAGGGGGTTTCATAATTTTGGCCAGGCTGGTCTCAGGTGAATGGCCCTTCTCAGCCTCCCAAAGTGCTGGGATTACAGGCATGAGCAACTGTGCCCAGTCAGAGAACAATGGTTTTTAAATGATTTTTTTGATTCATGAACTCCTTTGAGAATATTATAAAAGTTAGGAGCTCTCTCTTGAGTAAAATGCACACACACATACAGAATGTTCCCAGAGCCTCTGGAGCCCCGCCATGCATCCCTGGCTAAGAATCTCTTGTATATAGAATATATTATAGTGCTATGCATCACAAAACAAGTTGCCCTGTCACAACCTGATGTTGAAATGCATATTTGGAATCTTGCAGTCACATAACCTCAAGTGTTTCATCAAGAAACACAGCAATGTGGCAAAAATTTTGCATAGTGCACCAGGGCCTCCTAGACTGCTTATGATTCCTTCATACTCTTGAGCACGTACACAACAATCTGAGATGCGAAAGGCACAGAAGCTTGTCTTAATCTGAGCAAATCAACAGCTTTCAGAAGCTGCAAGGAAATGAAGCATCAGAGAAAGTGAAAATTGTCCCTAACGATAGTTCAGAAAATAGGGCTGATTAGGCAAACTATCCCTGAGTTTCAGTGGATCCCAGACGTCATGGATCACCAATCACTGTTGCCATCCTCCTGGGAGCGTCCTGCTCACCTGTTTGGCAGTCAAACTCAATAGAACAGATTTTAGAGTCAGGCAGGCCTGGATTTAAATGTTGGCTTTCTTTGCCGTATAAATTTGTGGAGGCTGCTTAGCTTCTCTGAACCTGTTACCTCATCTGTAAAATGCGAATAACAAGAGAATCTACCTCATAGGATTATTGTGAACATTAAATGAAATAAGACATGTAAAGTGCTCAGCACCCTACTCAGCAAGTGGGAAATACTCAGTAATAAGGCTGTTACTATGAACAGTAGCAGAGGGCAATAGCAGCATAACTCCAGAGTTAGGAAAACTCAATTCCAAGCCAGATGCGGTGGCTCATGCCTGTAATCCCAGCACTTTGGGAGGCCAAGACAGGCGGCAGATCACTTGAAACCAGGAGTTCAAGACTAGCCAGGACGACATAGTGAAACCTGGTCTCTATAAAAAATACAAAAATTAGCCAGGTGTGATAGTGCATGCCTTTGGTCCCATCTACTCAGGAGGCTGAGGTGGGAGGATTGCTTGAGCCCAGGAGGTTGAAACTAAAGTGAGCTGTGATTGCACCACTGCGCTCCAGCCTGGGTGACGCCCTGTCTCCAAAACAAAAAATAAACAAAAAACCCTTGATTCTAGATTTTGACTTCAATTACTTGCCGGTTTAACTTTGTGCAGGTTACTGAACTCTCCCATTTTTAATTTCCTCAACTGAAGCACAGGGTTAACCCCTACTTCAAAGTGTAGTTCAGCCAGGCACAGTGGCTCATGCCTATAATCTCAACGCTTTGGTAGGTCGAGGTGGGCAGATCACTTGAGGTCACGAGTTCAAGACCAGCCTGGCCAACATGGTGAAACCCTGTCTTTACTAAAAATACAAAAATTAGCCGGGTGTGTTTGCACATGCCTATAGTCTCAGCTACTTGTGAGGCTGAACCAGGAGAATTGCTTCAACCTGGGAGGCAGAGGTTGCAGTGAGCTGAGATCTCACCACTGCACTCCCACCTGGGTGACAGAATGAGACTCCATCTCAAAAAACAACAACCCCCTTCCCATCCCCCCCAAAAAAAAAGTGAAGTTCAATGAGCTAATAATGCATGTTCTGTATGTGCTTAAACATGTCTGGCACATATTAAACACTCAGTAAATAGTGGCAATAAAGATGTTGATGGTACTAATAGTAGTTAATAGTTACAAATCTCTTACTAAATGCCAGGAACTGTTCTAAGCCCTTTTCATGTATTATTTTTTATTTAGTTGTCATAACCAATAAGGTAAGTCCAATTATTATCTTTGGATGAGGCCTGCAAAACTCAAATAAATTGTCCTAGATCACAGAGCTGGTAAAATATTTTTTTGAGGCAGGGTCTTGCTCTGTTGCCCAGGCTGGAGTGCTGTGGCATGATCACAGCTCATCACAACCTCAATCTCCTGGGATCAAGTGATACTTCTGCCTCAGCCTCCTCAGTAGCTGAGACTACAGGTGTGTGCGACCATGCCCAGCTAATTTTTAATTTTTTTTTTGGAGAGAGTGTGTCTCTCTATGTTGCTCAGACTGGTCTCAAACTTCTGAGCTCAAGAAATCTTCCTGCTTGGCTTCCCAAAATGCTGGGATTATAAATGTGCACCTACATGCCCAACAAAATTTCAACCTAGACAGAGCTTGAGACCATACCCTAAACTACTGTTTTCCTGAGAATAATGTGTCAACATCAGCTCTGTAAATCAGAGATTAAAGATCACTTCACTAAAGTTTGAGACACTTCCCATTTCTGGCTGGAGCTGCCCTCCGTGCCCCATCAGTTTTCATGGCTTGAGGGGGCACCACTGTCCCAAAAACATGTGCACTACTATGGCTACATGCTGTTCTAAGAGAACAAAGACAGCCTTCTCCAAATCCTTCTAGATCTGCCATTAGTCTCAGTCAGCCAATGGCCACTGACTCCTCTGGTATGAGAGGGACAGCCCTTCTGCCTGACCACACCAAGAGAAAGCATTCAGGGTTTGCTTGATGATTTCATGAGGGGAGCATACTGGGGTGGAAGAATGTTCCCTGCATGCTTGTTTTGCAACTTCCCAGCTCGGACAGGCTCCAGTGAAAATCGTGTGATTAGGGAGCCCAGACTAATGGCAGACACAGGGCCCCCTGCTCTCCTCCAAAAGTCGCAAGGCTCCCATTGTCACGGTTCACAGGAAGCCAAGAAGAGCACCAGGGACAGGTGGCAGACATCCCGACAACATGAAAAGGATAGGTAATTGAACATAGCTAGGTTACATTAATCATCCAGGGTCAGAGAACAGAACAAGGAAAGGAGAGAGGGGAGAAATCAGTCCAGACTTTCTGGTCAGTTGGCACAGGAGCAGTGGCACAAAATGGCTTTGTGTGGGGGATTTAGCTCACATAATCTCTAACAGGGCACCCCCTCCTTGCAAATTGCCCCAAATATACGTACAACCTAAATTCAAGGCCAGCCCCAGCCTCCCCTCTGATGAGATTGCTGCCCTGAGCTCCTCCTTTATAGAAATGCTGGCAACACCATGGCTGCTCAGCCACCTATGGTTTAGGGGGAACATAGAGGCTTGCATTTGCACTGCTGGATTCAGAGGCAGGGATCCCTGAAACCCAGGGACAGTCTCCTAGATCTAACTATCCACAGGGATTAACTGGTCATTATCACCTCTGGGATGTGTGTTCTGCAGACCTTGCTTTCTATTTGTTCCTTGCATCTGGCCCTGCCCAGACAATTGATTTCAGCAACTATAAATTTGGAGGGAGTTGTTCATCTTGGAAAAGATTCTGGAATGGAGACCTGAAAGCGAGGAGGAAACATCTTCCCCAGGAACCAAATACAAATATGTTCAAATACAAATCATGCCTGACCACTCCCTAGGCTTCTCTGAGTGGGTTACAAGACTACAGGCTCAGGGAGCTTTAGGAGATGTGCACCATCGGGCTTCAGTGACCAGAATCCATAGGGAACTGTCACATGGCCTCTGACCTTGTGTATGATCTAGGTGAAGATACCTATTTTTCTCACAATATGACAGACAGCATGAAGCTAGGGGGCAGGCACACTTGGGATGACAGAACCAGGAATCCAAAAGATAGTGTAAAATAAGGGTAAAGTGCTGACTAAAAGATGAAATTTATGAATAGCAGGAACAGACATGGTCTTGCACTTTGGTCAATGACATAATAAACATAAACAATCAAAGGACCCTGCCCAGGTTTAAATTCTTGTCACTGTTACCCTCGGCACAAAACATAATCTTGTGAGGTCCCACCTCCTCACTTGTAAAACTGGGATAATAATAGCCCCTACATTATGAAGTTGTTATGAGAATTAAATCAGTTAATGTAGGCAAAGTGCTTACGTAACATGGTGGTGATGATGATGGCAATGGTGATGATGGTGGTGGTGATGAAAATGGTGATGGTATGATGATGGTGGTGGTGGTGAAGATGGTGGTGATGGTGATGGGTGAAGGTGATGGTGCTGATTATTATGGTGATGGTGATGATGGTGATGGTATGATGATGTGACAGTGATGGTGATGATGGTGATGATGATGATGGTGCTGATGGTGATGGTGGTATGATGGTGATAGTGAGGGTAATGATGGTGATGATAATAATGGTAGTGATAGTGATGGTGATGGTGGTGATGGTCATGATGATGGTAATGGTGATGATGGTGGTGATAGTGATGGTAATGATCGTGATGGTGATGATGGTGGTGGTGATGGTGATGATGATGTTGATGATAGCAATGGTGATGATGGTGATGGTGATAATGGTAGTGATAGCGATGGCGGTGGTGGTGATGGTAATGTGATGATGGTGATGGAGATGACGGTGATGGTGATGATGATGGTGGTGATAGTGGTGGTGATGGATGATGATGATGGTGATGGTGATAGATAACACATGGTGCCAATCATAGTGCTTCCCACTAGGCAGTCTGATTCCAGAGCCTATGTTCTTAACCATCTTGCTATACTAATTCTCATAAGTGTTAAGTATAATTATTATAATTATTACTGACTAGGAAGAAATGTGGCTGATTCACAGCCTATGTAAAAATGACTTTATGGGTGATGGCTGACAGCAAGTACAACACGAGTCACATAAAGACTATCTGTAATGAGGTGGTGACACTCCCATGCTACTTTTTGCAGCATGGGTATCACAAGAGGAGAGGCCTAAAGACACACAGAGCAGGACCAGAAGGAAATGACTAGGGCCAGGTGCAATGGCTCATGCCTGTAATCTCAGCTCTTTGGGTGGCTGAGGCAGGTGGATGGCCTGAACTCAGAAGTTTGAGAGCAGCCTGGTCAACATGGTGAATCCCCGTCTCTACCAAAAATACAAAAATTAGACGGGCGTGATGGTGGGCACCTGTAATCCCAGCTACTCGGGAGGCTGAGGCAGGAGAATTGCTTGAACCTGGGAGGCGGAGGTTTCAGTGAGCCGAGATGACACCATTGCACTCCAGCCTGGGCGACAAGAGTGAAACACCCTCTCAAAAATAAATAAATAAATAAATAAAAATAAAAAAGAAGGAAATGACCAGAAAGACCAAACCATAGCATAAGAAGAATAGCCAAGAGCAGGTATGGTGACTTGTGCTTGTAGTCTCAGCAATTTGGGAGCCTGAGGCAGGAGGATCTCTTAAGCCCAGGAGTTTGAGAACAGTCTGGCAACGTGGTGAGACCCTGTCTCTAAGAAAAATTTAAAAATAATAGCCAGAGGACCTGGCATGTTTTGCCTGAAGAAAATACTTGGGGGACATGCCAGCCACTTTCTAAGGCCTTAAGCCTGCTACATAGAATCCAAGGCCCAGAAGTAGGCCAGGTGAAGGTGGGTCCTAGGTAGACAGATCTCAGCTCAATACAGGAAGGACTTTCTGATGTGTTGACCCAAGTTGAAAAGGAAGCATCCTGTCCCAGAAGCATCTGAGTGCTGGCAGAATCCAGAAGTCTGGGACTCAAACACTGGATAGAGGAGTAGCTATTTTACAGGCTCTAAATAGCTCCTCCAAGTGTGGAACCAGGACCATCTGATGACCACATGCATCACCCAGGGGCTTGTTAGACACATAGATCCAGAGTCTCCACCCCAGCCACTGACTCTGAATCTGCATTTTCACAAGTTTCACAGGTGACCTGTGTGCACATGAATGCTGACAAGCACTGATGTGGAGAGCATCTGAGGAATACCCAGGTTCAGGTGGGCTGCTGCTCTGAAAAGCAAGAGTGGGGAGAAACGCTGGGGCAAGGAAGAGCACGTGGTGCTAGAGTCTGGTCTCTAAGGGGACGGCCCAGCTGTGTGTCCAGCCCAGTTGCTCCAATTATGTCTGTTTTTTTATCTAGTCGGGCTGAAAAGAGTCATTCAAATTTGCATAAGGAGGCCTGAGGTAAAGGGGCTTGCGGGCATGGGTACTCATCTGACACCTCACTAAGCCATCTTGGTAAATCATCTCTAGAATGCCTGTTGTTATTTTGGGAAACACCACAAAGAGGATGATAATTAAAAGTAACACCCTGAGTGGGAATTTCTACTTCCCTCCAGTGGTTGGCAAGTAAAGCATAGGGAATTTTTTGGTCAGGGAATTTTTTGGTCAGGTAATATTTCTATATATTTTCACAGGTCACACAACATCAAAGCTTGAGTGTGTTGCAGATTTTTTCCCTTTCCTCTCCTGGTGCTTTGGGTTTGCAGCTTTATGCTATTGCCATTTTCTTGTCTTCTTCTTTTTTTTTTTTCTTTCCACTGAGCATTTTCTGATTTTAATTTGACTTGCAATGGGGGAGGGTATTTCTTCTGGATGTTACATTACATCCGAAGCGTAAAATGGTAAACGAAGCTGCAGGTCATTTTCAGGTGAAAAGACAATTTTATGCTTCATGGTTACGACCATGTAAAGCATTTTCATGGCAGGGTATTTTTCATCTTAGATCTCCATCGGGATGGCATGCAGGGATTTGCTGTTCAGTAGAAAGTTCACCTTTCAGTTACCCACTGTCTGTCTGCAGCCTCCTAGCCTTGCTGCTCTCCTGCACAGGTGCAGGGGCATTCCTGTTAGACCCGTTTCCCTCCTGGGACTGCCAGGGCCCTGGTGTTGCCATATTCCCCTGGTTTTCAGGGCCCCTTGCCATGCATCTTATCCATCCCTCACGACCCTCATTGCCTACCTGCTAGGCCCATTGTCTAGGACCTGAGCCCCTTAGTAACACTCATTGATCTGCCTTACACACTGTCCTCCTACTCCTCCTCTCTGATAAAACCCCAACTTCGGTTCATCCCACCATCTGCCTTCTCTGCTTCTGACTCCACCCTGCCAAGAGAGGAGAAAGCCCACGGAAGCACCACCTGAGGCCACCACAGTTTCACGGTCTCAAGCCTTCCCTAGATTCTTGCACTCTCTGACAATTTTAGTTGTCCTAAATCAGCTCCTCTCCCCACTCCCCCTGCAAAAAAAAACCTATTACTTGGCCCCACTTCCCTGCATCACAGAGGAGCCTTATCTTTTTCACAGCTTGTTGACAGCTCTTTCAATATCAGTCCTTTTGTTATCTCCCTGAGGCAGCTTTTAGGATGCTGGGACAGATTCCATGGCCCTGTGCTAAAGCAAATGAACTTGAATCTCTCAGGTGGGGCCCAGGGTTCTTTTTATTTAATTTTATTATTTTTTTTTAGAGACAGGATCTTGCTGTATCAACCAGGCTGGAGTGCAGTGGTGTGATCATAGCTCACTGTAGCCCCTAACTCTCTGGGCTCAAGAGATCCTCCTGCCTCAGCCTCCTGAGCAGCTGGTACTACAGGTGCAAGCCGCCATGCCTGGCTATTTTATTTTATTTTAGAAACGGAGTCTCGCTCTATTTCTGCATTAAAACTTGAATACTATCTAGGAGGGACCTATCATACAATAAACAGCTCTGGGGTAAACACATTTCATAAGGTCCAATGTCATTCATGAGTTTAACTTTTTTACTGTTTTCCAAGTACTTTCTTACCTGTAGACTTACATTTTTTTAATAGGTCTTGCCATGTCACCCAGGCTGAGTGCAGTGGCACAATCAGAGCTCAAAGTAGCCTTGAACTCCTGGGTTCAAGAAATCCTCAGCCTCAGCCTCATAATTGGCTGGCACTACAGGTGAATGCCACTGTTTTTATTTTTTATTTTTTTAGTAGTAGAAATGGGGTCTCTCTATATTTCTCAGGTTCTTGAACTCCTGGACTCAATCAATCCTCCTGCCTTGGCCTCTCAAAGTTCTGGGATTCAAGGCATGAACCACTGTGCTCCGCCACATAAATTTTTTTTTAATTAGCTGGGCATGGTGGGGCATGCCTGTGATCCTAGCTACTCAGGAGGCTGTGGTGGGATGACCACTTCAGCACAGGGGGCCAAGACTGCAGTGAGCTATAATCATGCCACTGCACTCCAGCCTGGATAACAGAGTGAGACCCTGTCTCTAAAATATAAAATAATAAATAAAATAATAAAAAGAGAGTACCTGGTAGGGCAACCATAGACTATCTTATCAAGATAAGAAAACACCCTCTGTGGGCCAAGGTGATGCAGCCAGCTCACACAGGATTTTACATAGAATTAATTTTATTTATTTTTTATTTATTTATTTATTTTTTGGGACAGAATGTAGGGAGACCCCATGAAACTATTGCTATGGAATAAAAGATGAAATGTTCCTGATTATTGTAAATACAAAGCTGCATGCTGGATTGTGTAAAGACAATGCCAGGTTGGACTGCCAGAATGAGCCAACAGCACATGATGTGCTTCGCCCTGCAGAGAGCCTATGAACGAACGTGCAGTCATGGAGGTTTCATATCACCAAGATTCCTATCCCAGAAAAGCAGATGTTCATAGCTCTGGGAATGGAATGCGACCCTTATGGAGAGCCTATAAACAGATGCATGAGGGGTGCCTGTTCATATGGATAAGACAGGGATATAAATGCCCTCATTTTGCCATGTCTCTTCTAGACCTCTTTAGGGTTAAGGCATACTCCCTTCTGAGACTTTCTGGTCTAACCCGTTGTGTAGCTTCACATCCTGTTTCTATGGATTGTTTGTAACCAGCTTTTGCTGCAACTGTTACTGCTGATTAATATCTTGCTAATTATAGGTTATGGAAAGACTGTGTTTCTGTTTTAAGGCTCTGTTAGAAATTACTGATGCACACACTATATTGTAAATTCTTACCTCTGTATACTGTACTTCTTCATACAGATGTTATGCTGAAGAATTACTTCATCCCTATATGACCATCTCACCTAATAATCAAATGACCCTAAATGCCTTACTAACCTACCCCCACCCTCACTAAACTTCATAATAAATGCTGGTATATCCAGTTCATTGGTGGCATCGCAGGACCAGAAGGCGGTGACTGCCCTGGACCCAGCTTTCACTATCTTGTGTGTGTCTATTATTTCTCGAGCTGCTGATCCTCCTGGGAACAAAGAGAGAGCCCGTTGCAGGCTGCTGGCCAGATCCCACAATATCTGTCCTGCAGTGTGGCCTCTTTTGTTCCGTGGCTCAGTGCACTCTGAGTGCATGTTCATGATGACTAGTCTTCAGTCTCCATGGTAAGGTCTCCGGGTACAAGTTTTCTGACTCTCCCCTCTTTTTGGGTTTGTTGACCAGTACTGTTCCAGGGTTATTATGGGACAATCACAGTCTAAACACCAGGCTTATCTGTCTTTTATTAAACTTCTTCTTATACTGGGTGGAATCAAGGCAGATTCCAATAACATTATTCTCTTATTTCAAACTATTGAAAAAAAATATTGTCCTTGGTTCCCTGACAAAGGTTCTATGGACCTGTTAGACTGGGATAGAGTTGGTGTCACAGTCCACCAACTCACGAGAGATGGTGTTTTACTTCCTATTTCTGTTTGGGCTGACTGTGCTGTTATTCATGTTGCTTTACTTCCTTTTCGGTCTGGTGATCCCCTTCAACTGCCACAAGTTAATGTGGATGGTGAGCTGCTCCCTTTACCTTGGGTACCTGACCCCCCTACTAGTCCTCCTTCTGATGATGAGGAGGAATTCGATCTCTCCATGTTTTCTCCCCAAGAGGAGGAACATGGTGATGATCCCCTCCCTCTGCCTCTTATCTTGGAACCTGTAAGTGTTAAATCTTCTTCTACTAAGCCATTGCCCCCTCTGCCAGAGGAGGATGTGTGGTATTCATCTGAATGGCCTGATTCTCATTCCTCTCATCCCTTTGGACCTCTCCCCTCTTCTAAGCCTACTGTTTCTTTCAATGCTGTGGGACCCCTTCTTTCAGAGGTTTGGATTCCTGCTTCACCCTAGTCCACCTCCCAGTGCCCTCACTCTCCTTCTCTCTTTTCCTCTGCCCCTGCACAATAGATGTATGAGTCACCTGTTTGTGTAGAGCAGTGGCCACTTTCCAAACACAAGTTGGAGGCTTTAATTGAAATTGTTAATGATTTACTACAAGCAAACACTATTCAGCCCTCTTTGTCTCCATGGAACTCGCCTGTGTTTGTTGTACAAAAAAAGTCAGGAAAATGGAGGATGGTAACACACTTAAAAGCTGTTGATGCAGTTATTAAACCTATGGGGGTGTTACAACCCAGTATGCCCTCCCCCTCCGTGATTCCTAAGGAATGGCCTTTAATTATCATGACCTTAAGGACTGCTTTTTTCATATTCCTTTAGACAAGTCAGACTGTGAAAAATTTGCTTTCACTATACCTTCCATTAGCAATTCAGCTCCTGCAACTAGATATCAATGGAAAGTTTTACCTCAAGGAATGATTAACAGTCCTACTATTTGTCAGTGGTTTGTCAGTACTGTGTTACAACCTATCTGACAGACTTTTACAAATAATTACATTCTTCATTATATGGATGATATACTGATTGTTGCTCCCACTAAAGGTGAATTAATTCAATGTTTCACCTCTTTAAAATTAGCTTTTGCCAATACAGGATTCCACATTGCTCCTGATAAAATTCAACAAGCCACTCCTTTTCTTTAATTAGGAAAGCAGCTAGAAGCTCACTCCATTAATCCCCAAAAAGTCCAACTTTGTACTGACAATTTAAACACCTTAAATGATTTTCAAAAATTACTAGGTGACATCAATTATCTCAGACCAGCCCTAGGCATCTCTACTTATGCATTATCTCATCTATTTGGCACTTTATCAGGAGATACAGATTTAAGCAGTTCTCACTGTCTATCAGAACCAGCAAAACAAGAGTTGTCTTTTGTAGAATAAAGAGTGAGAGAGGCAAAAGTCTCTTGTATTGACCCAAATTTGCCTTTACAATTTTTAGTTTTTCCTTCCATCCACTCTCCTATGGGACTTATAGTACAAAATGATGCTCTAGTTGAATGGGTATTTCTTCCTAATTCATCATCTAAAACTTTTTCAACATATCTTGATCAAATGGCCACTTTAATTGGGTTAGGATGTCAACGTATCACTAAAATTTCTGGCTTTCATCCAAACATTATTGTGGTCCCTTTGTCAAAAAATGAAGTTAAAAATACCTTTTCTACATCCTTGTGCTGGCAGACTAATCTGGCTGACTTCATTGGCACTATAGATAATCATTTGCCTAAGTCAAAATTCTTTCAATTTCTATGAAATACTTCCTGGATTCTACCAAAACTTACTCGTTCATCACCACTAGAGGCAGCCATTACCATTTTTACTAATGGGTCCAATAATGGAAAGGCAGGGTATGTAGGACCAAAAGATAAAGTCATTTCTACTCCATACACTTCTGCTCAAAAAGCCAAGTTGTTTGCTGTTATCTCTGCATTACAGGATTTTGATCAGCCTCTTAATATTGTCTCGACTCAGCTCAAGTAGTCCATGCCACTAAGGCAATAGAAACAGCTACCATCAGAAACATTGCTGACACTAATCTGTTTTCCTTGTTCTCTTTGTTACAAAAAAACTGTCAGAAACCGAAACCACACTTTTTTTCATCACTCACATTCGATCTCATACTAATTTGCCTGGACCTTTATCCAGTGATAATCACAAAGTTGATACTCTAGTTTCTCTAGCCATTATGGATGCAGAACAATTTCAACAACTCAGTCATACTAATGCCTCAGGTCTTAAACATAAATATTCTCACAGTTGGAAACAAGCTAAACAAATTGTAAAACACTATTCTCAGTGTCAGGTTCTTGTCTTACCCACACAATCTCCCGGAGTTAATCACTGAGACCTTTCTCCTAATGCTATTTAGCAAATGGATGTTACTCATGTTCCTTCTTTTGTAAAATTAGCTTATGTGCATGTCACATTTGACACCTTTTCCAATTTCATCTGGGCTACCTGTCAAACTGGAGAAGCCTCTTCTCATGTTAAAAAACTTATGTTTTCAGGTTTTGCGGTTATGGGAATTCCTAGTGGGCTCAAAACAGACAATGGTCCAGCCTATTGCAGTAAAGCTTTTAAAAATTTTCTTGATCAGTGGTATATTAAACATATTACTGGTATTCCTTATAACCCACAAGGACAAGCTATTATAGAAAGAAGTAACAGAACTTTAAAATTACAATTACTTAAACAAAAAGAGGGGGATAAGGAGTTGTCTACCCCTCACATACAACTAAACTTGGCATTGCTCACATTAAATTTTCTTAATATTCCTAAATCTAGTTTTGTTACTGCTGCCAAAAAAAACATTTCTCTGGTAAGCGTCCCACAGTAAACCAAGGAAGGGAAGTATAGTGGAAAGATGTTCAATCTAATATATGGTCAAAAGTTTCTATTTTAACCTGGGAAAGAGGCTATGCTTGTGTTTCCCCAGGTGCACATCAATCTCCGTTTGGATTCCTGCTAGACACCTGAAATTGTGTCCTGGAGATGCATGCGACAACGAGACAGAGAAATTTGCTGAAAAAACACCACAGAAAAAAACAACTAACACATCCAACTGTCAAAAAAAAAAAAAAAATAACCACGCTAACTCCTTTACAACAGACAATCCAGTCAGCCATCCTGAACAACTCATCTCCAGAGATCCAGGTCTGGCTCGACCTCTGCCTCCTCCTGATGACACTGATCCTTCTACCCTCTGTCACTCCACAGACTATTAAAAACTGTACAAATTGGGCCTATATTCCATTTCATCCTCTTATTTGAGCCATGACATGGATGGACGCTCCTATCGAAGTTTCTGTTAATGATAGTATTTGGATGCCTGGTTCTGTAGATGATCATTGTCCTGCCCAACTTTCAGAAGAAGGAACCCCTTTCAATATCATTTTAGGTTTTAGGTATCTACTTTTGTGCCTGGGACCCACTAATGGATGTCTCTCATTAGAGATTCAAACATGGGTGGTCACACTAGCGTCTGGTCACTCCATCCCTCCTTTGGAACACTTGGTATCAGGGCTCTCATTAAAACCTCTAAGGCAGATCAAAATAGGAATTGCTGATTATATTCACACATCCCAATATAAGCTTTTAGGACCTGTGGGTCCCCTCAACTTGTCTTCAAATGCTGACAAATTAATATGGAAGGATTGTGTTAGTTCAGAAGGAACTGTGTTATTTAATTGTTCTCACTACACCATTGTTGATTAGGCTCCTAAAAGTCATATTATTAATGATTGCTCTCAAGGTCACAGAGATTATCAACATTTTCTCTATGATATTACTTATCAAGAAAGTAGTGGCAACCCTCACCTATTATATCATAGATTTAACTCCTTTTTTCCTCTTACGTGGAAAGGGGCAGGGATTGCCCCTCCAAAGCCAAGGCTCTTTGTTCCCCACTTAGGACCTCAACATTCAGAATTATGGAGTTTAACCATAGCTATGACTGGTATGAGAGTTTGGGCTGGAGAAAGTGTTATAAGTAAATCCACCTTGTCACCTCAAAAACCAAGACAACAGATTGATTCACACTACTATTTCCACACAGCCAAAAAATATCACTATGGCAATCATCAAAAGGTCAATTCAAAGATGGGACAGTAAAGATTATGAGGACTTATATCCCCCGGTTGCTAATGTCCCCCCACCACCTCTCATACAACCTATTCCCCCCACCCCACATTCACAAAAAAGAGTACCATCCCAAAATATATATACTATCTATATGGAGTCCAACAAAACTATACCACTTAAAAGTTGTGTTAAACCACCATATATGTTATTAGTAGGAAAGATGCATATTAGTTCAAAAACCAACATAATTACATGTGTTAATTGTTACTTGTATACTTGTATTGACTCATCCTTTAATCAACATCATAGTATTTTAATATTGAGAGCCAGAGAAGGTATTTGGATACCCATAGCCTTACATAGGCCTTGGGAATCTTCCCCTTCTACAGATGTTATTAATAATATTCTACAGAAAATTCTTAAAAGGAGTAAACAATTTATTTTTACATTAATTGCAGTAATAATGGGCTTGATTGCTGTTACTGTGACTGCTGCTACTGCTGGAGTTGCATTACATCAGTCTATTCAAACTGTTCATTTTGTGGATGAATGGCAAAAAAAAAATCTACTCAGATGTGGAATTCTCAGTCAGGTATTGATCAAAAATTGGCCAATCAAATTAATGATCTAAGACAAACTGTTATAGGGATGGGAGATAGAATTATGAGTTTAGAACATAGATCACCAATGCAATGTGATTGGAATACTTCTGATTTTTGTATAACTCTGTTTCAATATAATGAGTCTGTTCACAATTGGGAATCAATAAAACGTCATTTGCAAGAAAGTGAAGATAACTTAAGTTTAGACATAAGCAAGCTGAAAGAACAGATTTTTGAGGCCTCTCAAGCACACTTAACTGCTTTACCAAGTGTTGAAGCTTTAGACAGTATCTCTGAGGGGTTATCTAATCTCAACCCCATTCAATGGGTAAAATCATTGGGAGGATCCACTATTGTTAATTTTGTTCTCTGTATAATTTGTGCTATTGGTTTATTGTTCATGAGTAAAATTGAAAAAAATATTCTTCAATCCAGTCATGATCAGCACCAAGTTATGATTGCTATGGTTCATTTAAATCAGAATAAAAGATGAAATGCTATAGAATAAAAGATGAAATGTTACAGAATAAATGACGAAATGCTCCTGATTATTGTAAATACAAAGTTGCATGCTGGATTGTGTAAAGACAATGCCAGGTTGGACTTCCAGAGTGAGCCAACAGTGCATGATGTGCTTCCTTCTGCAGAGAGCCTATGAACGAACGTGCAGTCATGGAGGTTTCATATCACCAAGATTCCTATCCCAGAAAAGCAGATGTCCATAACTCTGGGAATGGAATGCGACTCTTGTGGAGAGCCTACAAATGGATGCATGAGGGGCACCTGTTCATATGGATAAGATAGAGCTATAAATGCCCTCATCTTGCCATGTCTCTTCTAGGCCTCTTTAGGGTTAAGGCATACTCCCTTCTGATAATTTCTGGTCTAACCAGCTGTCTAGCTTCACGTCCTGTTTCTATGGATTGTTTGTAACCAGCTTTTGCTGCAACTGTTACTGCTGATTAATATCTTGCTAATGATAGATTACGGAAAGACTGTGTTTCTGTTTTAAGGTTCTGTCAGAAATTACTGATGCACACACTATATTGTAAATTCTTATCTCTGTATATTGTACTTCTACATACAGATGTTGTGTTAAAGAATTACTTCATCCACATGTGACCATTTCACCTCATAATCAAACGACCCTAAACCCCTCACTAACCTACCTCTGCCCTCACTAAACTTCATAATAAATGCTGGTATATCCAGTGCATTGACAGCACCACTGGACAAGAAGGCGGTGACCATCCTGGACCCAGCTTTCACTATCTTGTGTTTGTCTACTATTTCTTGACCTGCTGATCCTCCTGGGAACAAAGACAGAGCCCTGTTGCATTGTGGGCTGCTGGCCACATCCCACAATAACAGAGTTTCTCTTTGTCCCCAGGCTTGAGTGCAGTGACACAATCTCAGCTCACTGCGACCTCCTCCACCTCCAGGGTTCAAGCAATTCTCGTGTCTCAACCTCCTGAGTAGCTGGGACTACAGGCATGCACCACCACACCCGGCTGATTATTTTGTATTTTAATAGAAATGGGGTTTCACTATGTTGTCCAAGCTGGTCTGGAACTCCTGAACTCAGGCAATTCACCAATCTCTGCCTTCCAAAGTGCTGGGATTACAGGCATGAGCCACCACATCTGGCCCTGGATTTTACATAGAATTTAAAGAGCTCATGATCCCCTTGAAGTTCTTTCATCATCTTCCCATACAAGAAGCCTAGTTAAGAATATCTGAGTTAGAGGTTCTGTACGGTCTTTCAATCAGGGTGTAAGAAATGGACAGGATCTCAGAGTTCAATGAATATAATCCTTATAAATTCATATCTTACAGATTCAGTCAATGAGGCCCAGAGAGTTTTCATGGCTGACTCATAGCATAGCTGGTGGAGACCTATATCTTGGTTTTCTGAATCCCAGTTCTCACACAGTGTTGTGTTAATATACTGTGTTTAAAAGAAATGTAAAGAAGGAGAGAGGACTGTGAAGAGACTGGCTGGGGGCAAAAAAAGCAATAGTTATTCATAGGATGTATAGATTGGCTATTACTCAGCTTCTTTTTTGTGTTCAGCATAGATTAGTTTTCTAGCTTCAGCTGAAAAAGACCAAGCCTGAAGCTCCCTTCTAGCTCCTTACTTTGGATCTGTGACTAAATCCTGATGGATTATCTGAGCAAGATCTGTGGAGAGGCAGATAGTGGGGACTGGGCACATCATGAGTTCTAAATGGCTGATGTCATTAAAAAAAGCCATAAGCAAGAAAGAATCTACTGTTTCCAAGAAGTGGGGGGAAAAGTTTCCAAGGAGAAAGTATGAGTCTTAAAGAAGGAGGGTAAGGGTTATGTAGCAAAGAAGAGGTTATTGGGTGGTCCCTGTAGGGTGGGGGTGGGAGAGGGGTGCAGAGCAGGGCAGGGTGTGAGTGAGGCATGCTCAGAGATCACTTTTGTTTTTGTTTTTTGACCAATGAAATGTTCAATATTTTTAGTTTAAAAATTGTTAAATTTTACTTTTTTGATCAGTGAAATGAGAGATGGTTTTGGGGATGCCTGGGAGCCATCTAAGAAGTTTATTAAGCTGGAAATTATCAAAGTAAGATTTGCATTTTAGATAGATGCTTTCACATGGAAGATAAATCTAAGATTTTTTTTTAAAAAAGTGTTAGAGTGCAGTTGTCCAGATTATGAATCATTCATTCATTGATCCAACTTTATGAAGCTTATAATATAAGCCAGGCACTGATCTAGACAAGAAAAGATAGTCTAAAGCAGCACAGTGACAATGGAGGTGGAGTTATATAACCAATAATACATACTTAGGAGAC
Source organism: Homo sapiens (assembly GCF_000001405.40). NCBI lineage: Eukaryota > Metazoa > Chordata > Mammalia > Primates > Hominidae > Homo > Homo sapiens. The sequence continues at coordinate 38,131,581 of NC_000012.12, forward strand.
AGATTTGAGAAATACTTAGGAGTAAAAAATCAGTAGGACCTCATGACTAATGAGGGCAGTGGGAAGTAGAATGAAAAGAGTAAGGATATTGACAGATGCTTGAAACGAATATGTCCAATATCTTAGAATTATATAATAAATTTAAAGGAATTTTCTGTCAGGAGTCCCAGAAAGATTAAAACCCAAATGCTAATACATAAAGATCAAAACAGCCTTCATTTGCAACATCTTTGAATAAGGAGACTACTTTGGACTCTGTTATTTCTCCAAGGCAAGAGATACAGACCTGCCCAACAGAAGTAATTATATCATCTACCAAATTGTAGGTTTAACTGAGAGAGGTTGAAATAAAAAGTAAAGAAGTCTTGCTGGGCCTCTCTCAACAGCCTCATGGTAAGACATTCCTACCAGAATTCAAATTTTGTCAAAATGGGGTTGCTTTCATGTAATTTTGGAATAAGCTTTTAAAAACTGAGAGCAGCAAGAACAGCAAGTGAACACAGATGAGCTGGGGAGCAGAGTGAATTGGGTGAAGTTTATAAGAATAAAAAAGAAGAGAGGATTTTACTAATGCTACTTTCAAAGGCAAAAGACCTAGTTAAAGTACTTATTTTTGCTTTCTTAATTCCTTATCTACTACTACAAATAAAGAGCAGCAAAATTAAAAGAAAAAAAAAGCTATGTGCTGTAAATGCCTTTAAAGACACTTCCTTAGTAGTTCACTGTGTTGTATACATCATAATGTGCTGCTTGGCAGGCTGCCTAGCTCACCTTCTAATCTCACAGCTCTGTGAGATGAAAAGTGAAATGTAATATTTACAATCCTGGGAATGAACTAATCCCTGGAAAAATAGAAGGATTTGATTTTCTCTTCTGCTCACGTTTAGCTGGCTTAGTACTTAAGCAGGGTACCAGGGATCTGTTTCTACTTGTCGCCACAGAGCAGGGAAGCTAAATGTGTGACATGTCTCAGACAAGCAAAAACAGACAGAATTCATCAGCACTAGACCAGCCTTACAAGAAATGCTAAAGGGGGTCCCACATCTGGAAGTGAAATGATAATTACTATCAATAAAACACACAAAAAACGTATAAAACTCACTGGTAGAGCACATACACAAAGGAAAAAGAGAAAAGAATCAAACTTTATCACTACAGAAAATGACCAAATTACAAGGATGAACAATAAGAGGGGAAGAAAGGAACAAAGGATATATAAAAAACAGAAAATAATTAACAAAATGACAGAAGTCCTCGCCTATCAATAATAATCTTGCATGTAAACTGATTAAATTTATCTCCTTAAAATACATAGACTGGCTGAATGGATTGAAAAACATGACCCAACTAGAGGTTGCCTACAAGAAACTTACTTCATCTGCAAAGACACACATAGACTGAAAGGCTGGAAAAGGATATTCCATGCAAACAGAAACCAAAAGCAAGCAGGGTAGCTGTACTTGTATCAGATGAAAGAGACTTTAAGTCAAAAATGATTTTAAAAAAGACAAAGGTTATTATATAATGATAAAGAGATCAATTCAGCAAGAGGACATAACAATTCTAAATATATATGCACCCAAAACAGTAATACCCAGATATATAATATAAACCAAACATTATTATATCTAAAGGGAGACATAGACACCAATACAATAGCTGGGGAATTCAACACCCCATTCTCAGCACTGAACAGATCGTCTAGATAGAAAATCAAGAACAAAACACTAGATTTATACTGCCCTTTAGGCTGGATGCGGTGGCTCACACCTGTAGTCCCAGCACCTTGGGAGGCTGAGGCAGGCAGATCCCTTGAGGCCAGGAGTTTGAGACCAGCCTGGCCAACAGGGTAAAACCCTGTCTCTACTAAAAATACAAAAATTAGCTGGGTGTGTGGTGGACATCTCTAATCCCAGCTACTTGGGATACTGAGGCATGAGAATTGCTTGAACCTGGGAGGTGGAGGTGGCAGTGAGTCGAGATCGTGCTACTGCACTCCAGCCTGGGCAACAGAGTGAGACTGTCTCAAAAAAACAAAAAAAAACTACTGCATTTTAGACTAACAAAGAGATATTTACAGAACATTTCATCCAACAGATGCAGAAAACACATTCTTTCATCAGCACAAGAAACATTCTCCAGAATAGAACAGACGTTGGGCCACAAAACAAGTCTCAACAAATTTAAAATAACTGAAATTATATCGAGTATTTTTCCTGACCATAATGAAATAAAACTAGAAGTCAACAACCAGGTGAACTTCTGAAATTCTACAAATATATGGAAATTAAACAATATGCTCCTGAATGATCAATGAAGAAAATTTTAAACTTTCTTTTCTTTTCTTTCCTTTTTCTTTTTTTTTTAAGTTGGTAAGAAAAATTGCTCGAAGATGCCCTAAACTAACTCCTAACATCCAAACACAGCCTGACAGTGTAGCTGCAAACTTTACTCTTGATCCATGGGTAAAAGTAGCTCTCGGCTTTGCAGAAGCCTTCTCTTGGTGCTGCCTGCCATGGGACAGAAAAGAAGCACCTGTGAGCAAGAGCCATGCACTCAATATACCACTGCTGACTCCTAAGTGCCCAGAATTTCATCTAGAGAAGTACCTTTAGAAGTTAGGTGATGAATTCTATTCATTTATTAAAATATATATACATATAAAATATTATATATTATATTATATATTTATATATTTTTAGGCAGAGTCTTGCTCTGTTGCCTAGGCTGTAGTGCAGTGGTGTGATCTCGGCTCACGGCAACGTCTGCCTCCCGGGTTCGAGCGATTCTTCTGTCTCAGCCTCTTGAGTAGCTGGGATTACAGGCGTCTGCCACCATGCCTGGCAAACCTTTGTATTTTTGGTAGAGATGGGGTTTCACCATGTTGGCCAGGCTGGTCTCAAACTCCTGACCTCAAGTGGTCCGCTTGCCTCAGCCTCCCAAAGTGTTGGGATTACAGGCTTGAGCCACTATGCCCAGTCATTTTTTTTTTCTCAAACAGAAGAGCAAAGATAAGGGAGGCTTCCAGCCTAACAGCACACCAAGGATATTATCTGCCTGCATTAGGAATCCTCCAGGGCAGACAGGATGGCAGGAACTTCCAATAGGGTGAATGACAGTGACTTGGAATTACTTGATGGGATCCGTTTGGACGCTTCTGATACCTCCATGCTGCCTGAGGCTTTTCCACTGGGCTTGGGAAAAGGAGAACCCTTTAATATTTAGGAAAGCAGAGAAAGAGGGACAATGGAGAAGACACATAATATAGTCTTCTGTGTTTTACTGGCTGAAAGTGCTGCAGATATTTTACATGCTCCCCAAATTGTCAACAGACCAGGCACGGTGACTGACACTGTAATCCCAGCACTTTGAAAAGCTAAGGTGGGCTGATCACTTGAGATCAGGAGGTCAAGATCAGCCTGGGCGGCATGGCGAAACCCCATCTCTACTAAAAATACAAAAATTAGCTGTCCGTGGTGGTGCATACCTGTAGTCCCAGCTAATTGGGAGGCTGAGACAAGAGGATCCACTTGAACCCAGGAGGCAGAGGGTGCAGTGAGCCGAGATCACACCACTGCACTCCAGCCCGGTGATGAAGTGAGGGTCTATCTAAAAAAAAAAACCCCAATACCCAAAATTGCCAAAAGGAAGAAGGCAGAAGCAAAACAGGTGCTCACGGCTGCCAGAGATTTGTGGGCCCTGCTTGGAGTAGAGGTCTAAATGCCGGCTCTGCATTGAAGACATGAGGGAATTTCTTTGTCTTGCTCTTGCTCCGGCTCCCTGTAACTGCATACCATAGTATCTCTTTCCTTTTTGGGTGATAATGCCCCATCCATAATCAGGTTACTAACAAAATGGAGGACAGGACTTCACTCCTCCCCAAACGCCTACGGGGAAAGGTCCCCTTTTACTGAGCACCATGGCTACAATTTTAACTGTTACTACAAAATAAAAGTTGCTACATTGTCATAATGATGGGTTTTTCCTATTACCTGAAAAATTATTAACCGAGTGTCTGTAGCCAGGGAGAAAAACACCTTTAAAGTTTAGATATGCATCAGTATTTCCCTCAAGAATAGCACAGGTTAAAGCTTTCATAAAAGGAAAACAAAAATAAGGAGTTGAAAAACATAGAAGTATAAATTAACAGCCACAAAAAGGGGAAGTTAGAGAGAGACTATGAAAACATCTTTGTCTTGTGGAAAGATACAATCTGAGAAGCAACTCTGCAGGACTTGGCTGAAAGTCAACGGGAGGCTGATCATATGAAGTGGTAGAAGCCGCGTAATTTGTCACATCAAGCATCTGTGACAAACCCACATAGAATCCAAGGAATGTAGGTGATCTGACAAAAGCCCTCACGTTTAAAATTTGCCCTAAGTTTCCACAAATCCACCAAAAATTTCCCCGCATGGGCCACGTTTTCAGATACAGTTTAGCTATCTGTTCTTGTGACACTAGTTGCATTTGAAGAGTTCTTGGGAGCGGCGTGCGGTGTCTCACGTCCATAATCCCAGCAGTTTGGGAGGCCACGGCAGGTGGATCACTTGAGGTCAGGAGTCCGAGACCAGCCTGGCCAACATGGTGAAACCCTGTCTCTACTAAAAATACAAAAATTAGCCGGGCGTGCATGTGCCTGTAATTCTAGTTTCTCAGCAGGCTGAGGCGGGAGGACTGTTTGAACCTGCGAGGCAGAGGTTGAAGTGAGCTGAGAGTACACCACTGCACTCCAGCCTGGTTGACAGAGCAAGACTCTGCCTCAAAAAAAAAAAAAAAAAAAATTATCGGGGCTTGGGTGCAGTGGCTCACGCCTGTAATCCTAGCACTTTGGGAGTCTAAGGTGGAAGGATGGCTTGAGGCAGGGAGTTTGAGACAAGCCTGGGCCACATAGTGAGACATCATCTCTGCCAAAAAAGAAAAAAATCCATGTTGAGACATTTTTGTGTAAAAAAAGAAAAATTTACCTGGGCGTGGTAGTGTGCACCTGTAATCCTAGCTACTTGGGAGGCTGAGACTGGAGGATTGCTTGAGCTCCAGGAGTTTGATGCTGCAGTGAGCTATGATTATGCCACTGTGTTCCAGCCTGGGCAATAGAAGGAGACCCTGTTTCAAAAAAAAAAAAAAAAAAAAAAAAAAAAAGCTGGACACAGTGGCCCATGCCTGTGATCCCAAAAATTTGGGAGGCCCAGGCAAGTGGATCATCTGAGGTCAGGAGTTCGAGAACAGCCTGACCAACATGGTGAAATCCTGTCTCTACTAACAATACAAAATTAGTCAGGCGTGGTGGCACATGCCTCTAATCCCAGCTACTTGGGAGGCCAAGGCAGGGGAATCGCTTGAACCTGGGAGGCGGAGGTTGCAGTGAGCTGAGATCGGGCCATTGCACTCCACTCTGGGCAACAAGAGCGAAACTCTGTCTCAAAAGAAAAAAAAAGCTCTACTATTTTTACGGTTACAATGACAATAATAGAGGCTTTTCTCTCGAGGAGCTCTAAGTGAAATTAACGAGAATTCTCATGACCCTAGAAAGAGATGTTTAAAAAGCAAACACATAGGCCGGGTGCAGTGGCTCACGCCTGTAATCCCAGCACTTTCGGAGGCTAAGGCAGGCAGACGGCTTGAGGTCAGGATTTCAAAACCAGCCTGGTCAACATGGTGAAACCCTGTTTCTACTAAAAATACAAAAGCCGGGCGCGGTGGCATGCGCGCCTGTAGACCAAGATACTCAAGAGGCAGAGGCAGGAGAATCACTTGAACCCGGGAGGTGGAGTTTGCCGCAGAGATCAAGACACTGCACGCCAGCCTGGGCAACTCAGCCTCCTGAGTGGCTGGGATTACAGGCACCCGCCATCGTGCCCGGCTAATTTTTGTATTTTTATAGAGACAGGGTTTTAATATGTTGGCCAAGCTGATCTTGAACTCCTCATCTCAGGTGATCCGCCCTCCTCAGCCTCCTAAATTGCTGGGATTACAGTCATGAACCACCGCGCCTGGAGAGTTCTCTTTTCTTTGGGTAGGGCAAGGCAAACTGGAATGGATTCACCGGAGAGCTGTGCGCATGCCCTGGAAAGCATTCTGGTTAGACCCATGTGAGACAGGTTAGTTTTATTGTGTGTTCCTCATGTGTTGCTGCCATGGTCATCCTGCTCAGTAGAAGAGGAACAACAGGTTCAGACATTTGGCCTATGTCCTTGGCTGAGGAGCCAATGGGGTAAAGCTACCATATGTAGGATTATGACTGAACGACTCTAAGTCAGAATCCCGCCCAGGAGGGATATGGCAGCTCCACGGACCTTTTGTTGGCCTCGGATAGGCGATCCTCGCCGTGCGCCGGGAACCGGGGTCTGGTGCAGACAGCCCTTCATCCTGGGAAACGCGCTGCTGCCAGAAAGGCGGTCACTCCCTGACCCATCACGTAATGTGTTTGTGGGGAACCTGATGCTAAGCTATTCGTAGACGCCCTGCTTCTGGGTCAGGGTTTTCTATGGAGCAGAGCAGCTCCCTCCCTGCCATCTATTGAAAATCAGATCTCCACACAAGGGTCTCTCCACCCGTGTGTGGGGGACCCGGTGATATGGCGTGTCCTTGTGTAATTCAACCTTTGACGTGTACTTTTCTTCCTCCCTCCTGTTGCCCCTGGGGACCTCGTTCCCTGGCCCGCTCATGCCCACCCGCCCCGGAGCTCCGGAACACACAGCGGGTGTCTCTCGCCAGAGCCCATCAGCGCCCGCTGTGCATTTGGGAGGCGCCCGTCCCCACCGGCGGGCTTTCCAAGATGCCACGCGGGGGATTGCCGAGGTAGGGGTGGCGCACCTGCTCGTAGTTCCACCTCTCCGATTCCACCTCCTCCCCACACCCCTCTGGGAACTCCTCCAGGGGCTGGGATCGGATTCATTGAGCCTGTTGAGAATGGCTGAGGCGTGGGTGTCGGAGGGTGTGCCCCTGAGGTTTCTGTCCCAGTAATGTTCACGCATGCCCGGTGGTGGCCTTTGGGGTCACTGCCCCTCTCCCCGCCCCAGGTGCGCGGGGCTGGGATATGAGCCAGTCACTGCCTTTGTGCCTTTCCTTCTCTCTCCGCTGCCGGGTTCAACCAGCGGACAGTGGGGGAACGGCGGGCAGGTCGGTGGAGTTAGATGACAGTAAAGGTGGGCCGGCTCTGTGTGATAAGATTCCAACTGGGTCCGACCGCTTCCGTCCGCTGGCGCCGGGTCCCCCAGACGTCTGCGGCGAGCGTTGGAACTGACCATCAACCTGGGATTTCTAAGGAATAACAGATAACTCTGGTCAGCAGCACTACCACTTTTGTCCACTAGATGTCGCTCCTTCACTACGTTGTTTCTTCCTCTCCAATTGTTTCCACAGTATTTTCAGTTGCTCTTCATTTTGTTTTTATTTTTCCTTTTACTTTTCTTACTCCTCTTTCTACACACTGAAGTTGCTGTTGTTTTACGTTTACTTCCTTTTTTTTTTTGAGAAAAGTTGGCGTGTGAGAATGCGATCTCGGCTCATCGCAGCCTGGACCTTCCTGGGCTCCGTCAGGTGATCTTGCCATCTCAGTCTTCCAAGTGGCTGAGACTGCAGGAATAGCTTGATTCTGGGATGTCGAAGCTGCAGTGAGCCATGATCACGCCACTGCCCTCCAGCCTGAGTGACAGAGAAAGACCCTGTTTCAGAAAGTAAGAGAGACAGGTTAAAGAAATAACTCCTTGAAATTACTACAATTAATTGTGATCTAAATTACTTGTTATATTTTTCACTCCCACTAGTTTATTATTATTGTTGTTGTTATTATTTATTTGTATTATTGTTTGTTATAATTGTTATTGTTTTTATTATTTAGTTATTTAGAGATGGAGTCTTGGTCTATCACCCAGACTGCAGTGCAGTGGCACGACCTTGGCTCACTGTAGCCTCATATTCCCGGGTTCAAGTTCGAGACCAACCTGGGCAATATGGCATAACAACCGTGTCTACTAAAATCTATCACTGATACTCCCAGGGCCGTTGGATATGGCAGGTGCAAGTTCGGAGGCTGAGGCAGGCGGTTCGCTAAAGTTTGGGAGTTCGAGATGAGCCTGGGCAACAGGCTGCAGTGCATTTGCCTGACCAAGGCCCACCACAGCCTCTACCTCCCCAGCCCAAATGATGCTCCCACCTCAGGCTCCAAAGGAGCTGAAACTACAGGCGCCTGCCATCACGCCCGGCTAACTTTTTAATTTTTTCTTTTTTAAAGTAGAGACGTGGTCTCACTGTGTTGCCAGGGCTGGTCTCAAACTGCTGGGCTCAAGTGATTCTTCCACCTCAACCTCCCAAAGTGTTGGGATTATAGGTGTGAACCATGATGCGCTTCCCTCTTTTTCATTTCCTTTATTTTTCCTTTTTTCTTCCTCTTTCTTTCTTTTTCTTTCTTTCTTTTCTTTTTCTTTCTTCTCTCTCTCTTTTTCTTCCTCCCTTCTATCATTTCTCATTCTCTTTTTCTGTTTCTCTTTCTATTTTCTTCGTTATCTTTCTTCCCTTTACATCTCTGTCTCTTTTTCTTTACATTTTTTTTTAATCTTTTTTGCTGTCTGTCTTTTCTCAATTCGTTTCCTCCCATCCCTCCAACTGTCTGTCTTCGTGTGGATTCTGGAAGAGTCTCCTCATTCTGTATCCCCTGTGTATCACAAGCCTCTGAGACTTTTGCTTTGTTCTTTTCTCCTTGTTGCATAAAAGGCATTCACTCTTCTTTTATTTTGGTACTCTGTGGACGGTCGAGGGCTGGAAAGAAAAAAAACGGACCATGAATTTAATTGGTTTCACAAGAGACATGGGAGACCAAAGAACGCACGATGAGTACTTTGCTAAATATCCTGTTTATTCTCCCAACCAGGCTCATAAAAGTACAGATGCATCCGGTGGGTTGAGAGATCTCTGTGTAGTCGTGACCCTGCAATTATACTTGACAGGAGCGGTGATGACAGACGGGTGGCACAGAAACCTGCCCTTCTTTGGTACCAATTGAGCATGGTGACAACATATTCAAAATGGCCCATGTCTCAACTTGATGGTCCTGTTTTTCTGCTCTGTTCTTTAGGAATGAGTGGAGCCTTCCCGTGCTCCGCCATTTCCTTGCATTTTTCTTTTTACATACATTCATTCACTTATTTATTTATTAATTTATTTTAAATAGAGTCTCATTCTGTAGCCCAGGCTGTGGCGTGGTATCGGCTGGCTGCAATCTCTGCCTCCCTGGTTCCAGCGATTCTCCTGCCTCAGCCTCCCAAGTAGCTGGGATTACAGGCGTATGCCACCCTACTCAGCTAACTTTTGTTTTTTTAGTAGAGACAGAGTTTCACCATGTTGCCCAGGCTGGTGTTGAACTCCTGACCTTCAGGGATCTGTCTGCCCCAGCCCCCCAAAGTGCTGGGATAACAGGCGTGAGTCACTGCACCCGGCCTAAATTGCAATTTTTCAAAATAAATGTGTTTTTTGTTGTTGTTGTTGTTGTTGTTTAATAAATAGAGCATCACCTAGTAACCACTGTTATTGAAAGTCGAGGTGGCACTGAGGGAGGCCTGTCCAACTTCACAGAGCCTGGGACAACCACTTTCTCTATTTCCCCTCTGGAGGCCCCTCCCTCTCTCCTTCGCTGCCTAGGGAACCTCCATCCTGTCAGGGACCCTGTTGTTCTTTTATCCTCCTGTGTAAATGGTGTCTCGTTCAGTTGCCGAGGCGGTGGCATTGTCTCAGCTGGCTGCACTCTCTGCCTCCCTGGTTCAAGCAATTCTGCTGCCTCAGCCTCCCTATCAGCAGAAATTACCGGCACGTGCCACCCTATCTAGCTAACTTTTGTCTTTTTTAGTAGAGACAAGGCTTCACCATGTTGGCCAGGCTGATCTCCCAATCCTGACTTCGTGATCTTCCAGCCTCGGCCTCCCGAAGTGCTGGGATGACAGTCATGAGCCACTGTGCCAGGCCACCATCATTGGTTTTAACTGGGAATTCTAGATTTGAAGCACACATCATTCTATGCCACAGAATGACTTCTTTATCCTGCTGACTCAAGAAGCTGGGCCCCTTGTGATTCATTTCAAACCAAGAGTCACCTCATGTTTGGAAAACAGATCTGCTCCCAAGTTCAGTGGAGAGATGTGGCATGTAGGACAAGGGACTGTTCCTTCTGATTTAGTCTCCACGGTGGGGTTTAGGGCTGGAGCTCAGTGCAGATTGTTGACTCCCTATACCTTGGGTTCCATTGTCCCCACCCTGGAACATGGGCCTTTGCAGATCCCGGCCCTTTCTGGCCCTTAAGGCACTGTCAGAAACACCATCACGAGCTTGGATACCCCGAATGACTGTGGCTCACTCCTCTCTGGAAACATTTGAAATCTGTCCTCTATGCGTGGCCACCTAAAACCACAGGAGTGTGGGATACTTGGCCGCCATCCACCTCACTGCTTTCGGGAGAGAATGCTGAAAGTCTCTTGCTGACTCTCTTGACTCGAGTTCTTCAAGGGCATGTGGTCAGGACATAGTGAGACCAGATGTATTAAGTCAGGCTGGGTGTGGTGGCTTACACCTGCAACCCCAACACTTTGGGAGGCCAAGGCGGTAGGATCGCTTGAGCCTGGGAGCTCAAGACCAGCCTTGGACAACACGGCCAAAACCTGAGGTGCATGCCTGTGGTCTCAGCTACTCAGGAGGCTAAAGTGGGAGAATCACCTAACCCTGGGGTGGTTGAGGCTGCAGTGAGCCGTGATGGTGTCACTGCACTCCAGCCTGGGTGACAGACAGAGTGATACCCTGTAGCAAACAGACAGACAGACAAGAGCTATATTATGTCCTTCTCAGGGTAGGAAGCAAAAATAACAGAATATGGTATTTAAGATTTTTTTAAATTTTAAATTTCAATCTATTTATTTATTAATTTTGACTCCATATTATGAAACCAGCTAATTTTTGTATTTTTGTAGAGACGAGGCTTCACCATGTTGCCAAGTATGGTCTTGATTGCCTGGGATCAAGGAATCCACCCGCCCTCAGGCTCCCAATGTTCGAGAATTAAAGGCGTGAGCCACTGCTCCTGACAGCATTGTTTTTTGTTTGTTTGTTTGTTTGTTTCTTTTTTTAATCTCTTGTCTTTCCAGGAGTTTCACGGCAGAGTGTTTGGCTGGCTTGTTTAAATTCATTCTAAATAGGAACTGAGGATATCAGCTTCTGGCCTCATGGACTCAGAGCTGATGAGTCCCAAAAACTCATAAAGTTTAAAATAAATAATTTTGTTGTACAGAAATACACGGATGCACCCAAAACACAGAAACAATTCTTTTAAAAGTTGTCTTAGTCCTGGTGGGTGTGCCAGTGATTCTTTTAGGTTTGGAGCTTGACTGAGAGAATTTCCAGTCGGTCTCTGGATGGAAGTTCCAGATGATCCGATGGGTGGGGACTTAGACTGTGTCCCCCCAGGGGCCCTGGTCTATTAGTTGTGGGGACTGCCTGGGAGAGCGTGGTGACCCACTGTACTGTGGGAGCCTCTACCCTTCCCCTCCCTTCTCCCCCTCCGGGTGATGCCAATTCATTCCAGGCTGAAACTCTCATTGGCAGACTTTGGGCATCACCTAGTGGCCACTGTTACTCTGAAAACTGAGGCCTCAAGGAAGAAGAAAGTTCATGGTGCCTGTACACAGCCCAGGGCAACTGTGTCGTCTCCACTTCTCCTGCCGCCACCTCCAAGTTTCTCCCTCCCTTGTTTCCTAGGGAATCACCACCCTGATGACTGGGTCTGATTCTTCTTTGATCAGTTAAAAAAATAAATAAATATGCCGGGAGTGGTGGCTCACACCTGTAATCCCAGCACTTTGGGAGGCAGAGGCAGGCAGATCACGAGGTCAGGAGTTCAAGTCCAGCCTGGCCAGTATGGTGAAAACGTATCTCTACTAAACATACAAAAAACTAGCCATGCATGGTGGTGCACACCTGTAATCCCAGCTACTCAGGAGGCTGAGGCAGGAGAATTGCTTGAACCCAGTAGGTTAAGGTTGCAGTGAGCCAGGATAGTACCACTGCACTCCAACCTGGGCAACAGAGTGAGACTCAGTCTCAAAAAAAAAAAAAAAAAAGGGGGGGGGGGGAAAGAGGCCAGGCGTAGTGGCTCACACCTGTAATCCTAGCACTTATGGAGGCTGATGTGGGCAAATCACCTGAGGTTGGGATTTCGAGACCAGCCTGACCAACACGGAGAAACTGTCTCTACTAAAAATAGCAAGTTAGCCAGGCGTGGTGGCGCTTTCCTGTAATCCCAGCTACTCGGGAGGCCAAAAAAGGAGAATTACTTGAACCCAGGAGACAGAGGTTGCGGTGAGCCGAGATTGCACCATTACTCTCCAACCTGGGCAACAAGAGCGAAACTCCGTATCCAACATAATAGTAACAATAATAATAAAATAAAAAATAAGCGAGTCTCCAGGAAAAAAGAAAATAAAAATAAAACCAACACTGACATAAACATATGCCTTTGTCTTTTTGAGGCAGCAATGATGCTACAAAGTGATCCACCTGTCTCAGCTTCCCAAAGTGCTGAGATTACAGGTGTGAGCCACTGCACCCAGCTATGTGTACTTTCTATGTGTACTTTCTTTTTTTAAATTAAGTTTTTGTTTGTTTTGAGACAGAGTCTTACTGTGTCACCGAGGCTTGAGCACAGTGGCATGCTCATGGCTCACTGCAACCTCCACCTCCCAGGTTCAAGCAGTTTTCCTGCCTTAGCCTCCCCAGTAGCTGCGACTATTGGCACATGCCACTGCACCTGACTAATTTTTGTATTTTTAGTAGAGACAGGGTTTCGCTGTGGTCGCCAGGCTGGTCTCAAACTCCTGACCTCAAGTGATCCACCCGTCTCAGCCTCTCAAAGTGTGAGAAAGAATTTCTGGGTGCTAGATGAGTTGGTCTCTCCTTTGTGAGACACCCATGGGGAGTCATGGGCGGCCTCTGAGGAGAAAAGTCTCCTTATTGCCTTCATGTCTTTATGCCCTGAGAGCATAACAGCTCAGAGGCATTCCACAGGTTGTTAAGGGAGATACCACACTCCCTTGAAGCAGTGGAATATAATCGAACATGTTGGCTCCTCCTGAAATCCACTCCCATCCATTTCAGTCCCGATAAGTTAAATATCTTAAGTAGTTTAGACACACACCTTTGCTCAAGGAAATTCACAAAAACCGCCACTCCTACACATCTTATTGCATGACTCACGAGTTCTCTTTCACTGATTAATCCTTTTCCTCATCCCTTTCTACCCCTCCCATCTGCCCTAAGAACAAACAGCTTGTAAGCCAATGAATTCAGTGGAGCCCGAGAGCTCTGGGCCGTGAGCAAGCCTCCGATGCTCCTGTCCCCTGGACCCGCCACTTTAACACTTATTTTGTCTCTTTCCAACTCCTTTGTCTCTGCCGGACTCGGGGTACCCACTGGCTGGTGCAAGGCTGGTTTCCCCACACAAAGTGCTGAGGTTACACGCATGAGCCACTGCGCCCAGCTATGTGTAATTTCATAACTCAGCTCATTTCTTGACTGGGTACCATGGGCATTTGGGCCACTTTCTCATGGAACTTACTTGTGCTTCAGGATCTGTTCAGACCCAATCAGGTCCACAGCACTTCCGTGTCATGCTGGAGTGCTGCTGTGCACACCCACTTATGCCCAGTGTGTGATGAGTGGCTCAGCTCACATGGTAACTTCGTGGCCCCACGGTTGGGCATTTGGTTTCTACTAACAGCCAGAGGCTAGCTGAGAGAGCCTGTCGCTCAAAAGAAGAATGGTTATCTGCAGATAATGGCAGGGCCTTGCTCCGAAATCCTCAAGACCTCCTCTGTGATTTGGAATAGCCTATGTCTCAAATGGATGGTCCTGTTTTTCTGCTCTGGTCTTTAGGAACAAGTGGAACCTTCCCATGCTCTGCCACCTCCTTGCATCTTTTTATATTCATCTATTCATTTATTCATGTATTTTTTAGAGACGGGGTCTTCCTGTGTCGCTGAGGCTGGAGTGCAGTGGTAGGATCATAGCTGGCTGCAACCTTGAACTGCTGGGCTCAAAGCGATCTTCCTCCGCCTCAGCCTCCCAAGTAGCTGGGCCTACAGGCAAGGGTGTGAGCCACAAAACAGCACAACGCCTGGCTAATTATCTTCATTATTATTATTATTGTTTTCTTGCTTCTTTTCTGAGACAAAGTCTCCCTCTGTCACCTGGGCTGGAGTGTAATTGTTCCCAGACCAAACTGAGGGTTGGGCTGCTTATTCTTGTGTCCTGACAACAAGATGCAGATGAACTGAAAAAGGATGGAGTTTTTAATTTCTGTGACCACTTAGAGGGAGAAGGCCTGGAAATATCACCAGACCGACTCAAAATTACAAAGGTTTGTAAAGCTTATATACCCTCTAAGCTATCTGCCTAAGCGTAAGAGTTTATTCATCTAAAGGTGGAAGCGATTGACTTTTTTTTGTTGTTGTTATTGGAGTCTTCCTCTGTTGCCCAGGCTGGAGTGCAGTGGTGAGATCTCAGCTCACTGCAACCTCCACCTCCCGAGTTCAAGTGATTCTCATGCCTCAGCCTCCAAGGAGCTGGGATTGCAGGTGCCCACCACCATGCCTGGCTAATTTTTGGATTTTTCTTAGAGGTGGTTTTTTGCCCTGTTGACCAGGCTGGTTTGGAACTCTTGACCTCAGGTGGTCTGCCCACCTTGGCCTCCCAAAGTGCTGGGGTGATGGGTGTGGGCCACCACTCCCAGCCACTTCTTTTGTTACTAGAAATGGGCTCTCTCACTATCATAGTATGTTGGAACCTAGCCCCCCCAAATCTGGCCATAAACAGTCCCCAAAACTGGCCATAAACAAAATCTCTGCAGCATTATGACATGTATGTAATGGCCCTATTGCCCAAGCTGGAAGGTTGTGGGTTTACGTGAATGAGGGCAATGAACACCTGGCCCACCCAGGGCAGAAAACCGCTTAAAGGCAATCTTAAGCCACAAACAATAGCATGAGCAATCTGTGTCTTAAGGGCGTGTTCCTGCTGCAGTTAAGTAGCCCAACCTATTCATTTAATTTGGCCCATCCCTTTGTTTCCCATAAGGGATACTTTTACTTAATTTAATATCTATAGAAACAATGCTAATGACTGGTTTGCTGTTAATAAATATGTGGGTAAATCTCTGTTCGGAGCTCTTAGCTCTGAAGGCTGTGAGACCCCTGATTTCCCACTTCATACCTCTATATTTCTGTGTGTGTGTCTTTAATTCCTGTAGCGCCACTGGGTTAGGGTCTCCCCAGCCGAGCTGGTCTCGGCAATAGTATAAACTCATCTATATCATGGGATATGGCACATGCATTTGTACATGCGTACGTGCATGTGTTTCTCCATGTTTTCCCAAGCCAGGGAAAACATGCTTCTTCCTCTGCAGGGGCTCTGGTAGATTAGTTGTTGGGAGCTCCTCAGAGGGTGCTGGGCTGACACTCTCATCCGTTTTTGAAGTCTAGGTGGCACACAGGATGCTGTGGCCACCCGCCCATGGTAAGGAGTGAGTGTGGTTTCTCTCTGCACCCCCTGCCCCCACCCCTGCCCTTGGAGGCCCACCCTACCTCTGTCCATCTGTTCTCCCACTCCCTCGTTGCCCAGAAAACCTCTGGAGATTCTGGCTGCGCCAGATTGTTGATCTTTTTGATCAGCTGGTTCCTTTTCTTTGTGTGTTTGATCCGTGTGGACTCTTCTGCCTCGGTTTTAAAGATGGCAGCTCCACCCTAGGCCTTTTTGTTAGTGGAGACTTTTCTGATTCTCCCCAGATGTTGTGAAAGCAGGTAAATGTCAAGCGTGTGGGACTAAATGGCATTTCCTAGAAATAACCAAATGAGTGTGGAGGAAGAAACATGCACTACACACCTTTCAAGGCAGCAATGGCAGCACTATGAATTTGGTGTCATTTCTGGAGTCAGATTTTGTCCTGAGTTGCCCTCCTTGTTGCCCCATCCAGGAGGTTCTGGAAGGTTAGAAAACATTCCAGAGTGAACTACTGTGCCACCGTCCTCTCCCCGTCCTGTTTTGTCCCCTCCCCCTCACCTCAGTATCTCTCCTTCGATTCTGGCAGCTTTGCTCTTCCTCCTTCCCTCCCTAGGGAAACTCAACCACCCTAGCTAAGCCACCGTAGTCACTTTTTACCATTATAATATTTTTCTTTCCCTGGCCAGGATATTGGTAAAGTGGAAAGTGTGTCATAGCCCCACCCTGGGCCTTACTACTTTTTAGAGGTTTTTTTTATTCATCTTTCTATCTTTCTCCTTTCATCTCTGTCTTCCGAATTTATTTCTCCAGTTCCCTTTCTCTCTTCCTTCCTTCCTTTTTTCTTTCTTTCTTTTCTTTTTTTCTTTCTTTCTTCCTCTATCCTTTTTCCTTTCTTTCTCTTCTTTCTTTCTCTATCTCTTTCCATATTTCTCTCTTCCTCCTTCTTTTTACTTTTTCTTTCTTTTTTGATTTTTTTGAGATGGAATCTCACTGTGTTACACAGGCTGGAGTGCAGTGGCTCCATCTCAACTCATGGCAACCTCCACCTTCCGGGTTCAAGCTGTTCTTCTGCCTCACCACTGCCCCCCACACCTGACCTGCCTAGGTAACTGAGACTACAGGTGCATGCCACCATGCCTGGCTAATTTTTGTATTTTTAGTAGAGACAGGGTTTCACCATATTGGCCAGCCTGGTATCGAACACCTGACCTGGTGATCCACCCACCTCAGCCTCCCACATTGCTGGGATTACAGCCGAGAGCCACTGCACCCACCCATTGTTTCTTTTAAAAATATTTTTCCTTTCAGAAATCGACCTCCTTCTTCATTTCCTTTATATTTTTTCTTGCAGGACTCGCAATCTTTATTGGTTCAAGTTTTTCAGACAGAATCTAGCTCTGTCACGTGGGCTGCAGTGCATTGGCCTGACCATGGCTTACCATAGCCTCGACCTTCTGAGTCCAAGAGATGGTCTTATGTCAGCCTTTCGAGGAGCTGTGACTACAGACGCATATCCTCATTCCATGCTAACTTTTTTCCCCTTTTTTTTTCTTTAAGTAGAGACAGGGTCTTGCTATGTTGCCAGAGCTGATCTCAAACTCCTGGGCTCAGGCTATTCTCCCACCTAACCTCGCAAAGTGTTGGGATTATAGATGTGAGTCACCATGCCCTGCCCTCTTTGTTATTTTCTCCTCCTTACCTTTTTATTTCTCTTTCTATCTTTATTTCTTGTCTTTTCTTTCTTTCTTTCTTTCTTCTACTGTCTTTTATTATTTTTCTTTTTTCTTCTTTCTTTTTTCTTTCCTCTCTCTGTTTTTTTCCTCCTGGCTTTCCTTCATTTCTTTCCTCATTCTTTATCTATTTCATCTTTCTTCTCTCTCTATGTCTCTTTCTTTCTTTCTTTATATTTCTTTCTCTAGATTTTTAAAATTCTGTCTCTCTCTGTTTCTCATTTCCTTCCTCCCTCCCTCCCTCACTACTCCCTTCCCTCCCTCCTTCCCTTCCTCCGTCTGTCTCTTTTCTCCATTCCCTTTCTCCCTCTCTCCCTCCCTTCCTCTGTCTGTCTTTGTCTGGATTCTAGAAGACTCTCCTCATTCTGTATCTTCCTGTGTCCTAACTGACCAGCAACGAAGTCCCGTTTCTTCTTTCTTCTTCCGAGATGCATCTTCAAACTCCCGCGTGCCACAGGTTGTCTTTTGACTCTATAGCAGTCTATGCAGAAACATGTTTGGGGAACGGTTTCTGTGAACTTGGGGAGGAGGGGCTGCATTTTTGGCCTCAAAAAAACTTCAAATCATGGTTTGGGCTTCCCAGTCATGGGCTGCCCTGCCATCTGGAGCTCTGGAGTGTCACTTGTGAGTCAGAGCTCAGTCATGCAGGGCTTTGTGGGGGGAGTCTCTTTCCGTGCTTCCGTGCACAAGGGCAGTGTGGGGCTGCCCCGGCTGGTCGAATAGCATTCCACAACTCCTGAGGCTTGACCTGAGACGCAGGGGCATTGTGCGGGTGGCTGGGGATGCCCTTCCTGGCCCAGCGGCAGGCCAGTGCAGGTCCTGGCCATCTGAGGCATCTGCTGAATTATTTTCCAAGTCCCTGGTGGAGTCAGGGACCATCCTGCACTGTCCTCTGGTTACCAAGGAGCGGTCACAGGGCCCAGCCCTAGTCCATCTGCCCTGATCTTTTTTTCCAAGTTCCTGTGCAGAGTCAGAGAGCGGTCCCTGAGCACGCATGTGGTCCGAGAGGTGACACCTGGCCAGGCTTTGGTCCCTCATGTGATCTGGTCATGTGAGGGACTGGCCAAAAATGACTCTGAGTCTCGCTCTGGAGAAACGGGCCAGACCCTGCATTGCACAGGTGGCCAGGAGGGTGTCCCTGGCCCTCTGCTGCTCCTGTGTGTGTCCTGGGGTTGACCAGAGGGCCCTGGGTGTTCCGTGTCTGGCTGCCATGGTGGCCTTTTTGGGGATAGATGTCCAGATCGCTCATTTCTGGGCTAGTGGTGTGGTCGGTGACTCGACACCCTGCCCCCAGGCGAGGTATATCTTTCACTCCGAGTTGGCATTTTGGGCCACCAGGTTGTTGCTGACTCCTTGTCTGGGGATTAGATTGGGCCTCTAGATGCATGTGAAGCTCTAGTATACTGGCAACCCAGCTAACAGGCCCTGCTCCAGCTTGAGCTGATTGCTGGGACCCGTGTGCTTGCTCTCACACATCCTAGTGTCATAACTGTCAGTGGTGCCCTGGGTCTCTGGGCCTTTGACCCTGGCAGGGAAGGCAGCAGGCAGCTTGGGCTCCCCGACCTGTGTGCTTCCCCACTGCGGGCACAAGAGGTGGTCAGAACAACCCCACCCTGTTGGCTCTGTGCTGTGCACATCAGGCATTCTCTTCCTTAAATTGTCTGCTGTCCCTATCCTAGAGTGAGGCTGGCTTTGCTGTTATGCCCATCAGGTTCATCAAGACTGACCCCCACTCAACCACCGCCTCGCTATGGGGCTTTTCATGATATATGTGGTGACATCACGCTCTCCTGGGCCGGGACTAAGCCAGGAGGAGCAAATAATGGAAATTCATGGTGAATGAAACCGTTCTTCTCGTTCTGCTCGTGAGGCCCCTCGTCTCTCCTCCCTGCCTCCTGGGAGGCATGGGGCAGGGAATTTGGCATGACCTCGCTGCCCTCACACCTTGTGCCTTGGCTTCTAGAAGATTGATGGAGTCTTCTGACACAGCAGGCACCTTTGCTCTGGCTTCCTGTGGTTGTTGCCTTGGGGGTGGACAGGGCACCTCTCCCGGGCCATAGGGGACTGTCCCTACAAAACATTTCTGGGATGCGAAAGGGTTGGCACCACCTGGGCCTTTGTGGTGATCCAGTAGTGCTCCAGATTGCTACCACGTGCCCGAGACAAAACAGTGGTGGGTTGTGCCAACCCCAAGTGCCCTCTCCTACAACCAACACTACGGTGTTTGCAAGTGCGTCCTGAAGAGGTCGTTGGGTGGGGCGAGGCGGATGAGTGAGGCAGGCCCCTCCCACTCGATAAGAGATGCCGCCTTGTCTGTCAAGTGTATGTCCCATGCTCCACTCTGCCAAGTGCGCACAAGACTTGGGAGCGATTGTGGTAAGATTCTGTGCACCATCGTGGTGTGTGGGCCTTGGGGAGGCCTTTTGCCCGAGAGAGAAGGGCGGATAAACAGAGGGACTTTGGGGGTGAGTACATGCATGCCAGGCAACGGCCCTGATAGAAAGTACTCAAAATTTGCCACAGGCTTTTGGTCGTAAGGCAGACGACTTTCTTCGTCAGGCGGCCATGAGCGAATCTTCAGGCACAACGAGGGGCAACTGGCGGGGAAGGAGTGTGACAAAAACTCGGTGAGAAAGCCTTCTTTAGTAATACGAAAGGTGAGCCAATGGGGTACAAAATACCCCAGTCCAAGGTATCTGTTTATAATAATGATTCCGTTGATGTGCATAAGCAGAGTTCCCTACTTTTACCATAAATAAGGACAGAAGCCGCGGGGGTCGTGGAGTCCCTGGCTTACACCCAGGGTGCGTGTCACCCCCACAAGGGGCACCAGAAAGCGGCAAGAAGACCCCCGGGGGAAGAGAACAGGAAGCCAGGCTTTAAAGGGGACTTTGAGGCAGTCTGGGAAAAAACTTCCCATGGAAAACAGTGCCTACCCAGCTGACCCTGGGCCGGGCTTTGGGAAGTTGTGGAGTTCCTGACTTGCACCCAGGGTGCGTGTCAAGCCCATAGGGGACACCCCAAAGTGGCAAGAAGGCCTCTGGGGGAAGGGAACAGGACGCCAGTCTTGATAGGGGACGTTGAGGCAGCACGGAAAAATAAAAAATAAAAAAAGGCGGGCCAGCGTCATCCAACGGATGACAGTGTCTTCCCGGCAGCCCCTGTGTTCGGTCCAGGGGGGTCATGGAGTTTCTGCCTTGCACCCAGGGGCGTGTCGTGCCCACGGGGGGCATCCCAAAGCGGCACTAAGGCCCCTGAAGGAAGGGAAAAGGATGCCAAGCTTGAAAGAAGATGTTGAGGCAGCACAGGGAAAAAGCGGTGGGCTGGGATCCTCCCACTGACAGTAGTGCCATCCCAGCAGCCTCTGCGCTGGAACCAAGGGTATCCTGGATCCCTGGCTTGCACCCAGGGTGCGTTTCTCGCCCACGGGGGGCACCTCAAAGCGGCAAGAAAGCCCCCGAAAGAAGGGGACAGCATGTCAGGCTTGAAGGGGTATGTTGAGGCAGCCCGGCGGCAAAAGCGGCGAGGCTGGAGTCCTCCCACGGACGACAGTGCCTTCTCCGCAGCCCCTGTGCCAAGCGCGGAGTGGTCGTGGAGTACCTTACTGCCACCCAGCGGGCGTGTCTCTCCCATGGGGGGCACCCCGAAGCGGCAAGAAGGCCCCCGGGGGAAGGGAAAAGGACGCAAGGCTTGAAAGGGGACGTTGAGGCAGTCGGATAAAACTTCCCACCGAATACAGTGCCTTCCCAGCAGCCTCTGCGCCGGGCCCAGAGAAGTCATGGAGTCCCTGGCTTGCACCCAGGGTGGGTGTCGCGCCCACGGTGGGCACCCCAAAGCGGCAAGAAGGCCTTTCGGGGAAGGGAACAGGACACCAGGCTTGAAAGGGGATGTTGAGGCAGTCCAGGGAAAAACTTCCCACGGAGGACAGAGTCTTCCCAGCAGCCTCTGTGCCAGAACCAGGGAAGTCGTGGAGTCCCTGGCTTGCACCCAGGGTGCGTGTCTAGCCCCCGGGGGTACCTCCAAGCGGCAAGAAGGCCATAGGGGTAAGGAAACAGGACGCTAGGCTTGAAAGAGGGCGTTGAGACAGCATGGGGAAAAAGGCGGCAGGCCGGGGACGTGTCATGGATGACAGTGCCTTTCCAGCAGCCCCTGCGCCAGGACAGTGGGCGGGGGGGTGGGGGGTGGGTGTCGTGGATGGCTTGCACCCAGGGTGCGTGTCTCACCCATGGGTAGCACCCCAAAGCGGCAAGAAGGCCCGCAGGGGAAGGAAACAGGATGCCGGGCTTGTAAGGCGACGTTGAGACGCTCCAGGGAAACAGTTCCCAAAGACGACTGTGCCTTCCCAGCAGCCCCTCCACCGCGCCCGGGGAAGTCATCAAGTCCCTGGCTTGCACCCAGGGTGCGTGTCGCACCCAGTGGGGACATGCCAAAGCGGCAAGTAGGCCTCTGAGAAAACGAAACAGGACGCCAGGCTTGAAAGAGGACGTTGAGGAAGCACGGGGAAGAAAAGCAGCAGGCCGGTGTACTCCCATGGACAACAGTGTGTTCCCGGCAGCCCGTGTGCCTGGCCTGGGACGGTCGTGGAGTCCCTGGCTTGCACCCAGTGTGCGTGTCGCGCCCACGGGGGAACCCCAAAGCAGCAAGAATGCTTTTGGGGGAAGAGAACAGGACGCCAGGCTTGGAAGGGGACGTTGAGGCAGCACGGGGAAAAAAGCGGCGGGCCGGAGTCATTTCACTGATGACAGTGCCTTCCCGGCAGACCCTGCGCCGGGTTTGGGGTGGTCGTGGAGTCCCTGGCTTGCACCCAGTGTGCGTTTAGCGCCCACGCGGGCACCCCAAAGAAGGCCTTTAGGGAAGGGAACATGATGCCAGGCTTGAAATGGAACGTTGAGGCAGCACGGAGAAAAACGCGGGGGGTCGGGGTCCTCCCACCGACGACAGTGCCTTCCTGGCAGTCCCTGCGCCGGGCCCGGGGGAGTCGTGGAGTCCCTGTCTTGCACACAGGCTTCTCGCCCATGGGGGGCAACCCAAAGCGGAAAGAAGTCCCCAGGTGAAAGGGAACAGGACGCTAGGCTTTAAATGAGATGTTGAGGCTTCCCGGGGGAAAAGCAGTGGGCCGGGGTCATCCCACGGATGACAATGCCTTCCTGGCAGCCCCTGCACCTGGCCAGGGGGTATCGTGGAGTCCTTCACTTGCACCCAGGGTGTGTGTCGCGTTTACAGAAGGCACCCCAAAGAAGCAAGAAGGCCTCCGGGGAAAGGGAAAAGGATGCCAGACTTGAAAGGTGATATTCAGGCAGGAAGGGGTAAAAAGCGGTGGGCTGGGGTCCTCCCATGGACAACAGTGTGTTACCGGCAGCCCCTGCGCTGGCCTCAGCGAGGTCGTGGAGTCCCTTGATTGCACCAAGGGTGGGTGTCACGCCCACGGGGGGCACCGCAAAGCGGCAAGAAGGCTTCTGGGGGAAGAGAGCAGGATGACAGTCTTGAAAGCAGACGTTGAGGCAGCACGGAGAAAAAAGCGGCAAGCCACATCCTCCCACAGAAGACAGTACCTTTTAGTCAGCCCCTGCACTGGGCCCGGGGGTTTTGTGGAGTCCCTGGCTTGCACCCATGGTGCATTTCTTGCCCACGGAGGGCACATAAAAGCGGCCAGAAGGCCTTCGAGGGAAGGGAACAGGATGCCAGGCTTGAAAGGGGACGTTGAGGCAGCACTGGAAAAAAGCAGTGGGCCAGGATCCTCCCACGGATGACAGTGTTTTCCCGGCAGCCCCTGAGCCAGGCCCTGGAGGGTCGTGGAGTCTCTGGCTTGCACCAAGGGTGCGTGTGAAGCCCACGGGGGACACCCCAAAGCGGCAAGAAGGCCTCCGGGGATAGGGAACAGGACGCCAGGCTTGAAACAGGACGTTGAGGCAGCACAGGGAAAAAAGCGGAAGGCCGGAGTCCCCCCCACGGATGACAGTGCCTTCCAGGCAGCCACTGCGCCATGCCCGGGGGGCTTGTGCAGTCCCTGACTCCCACCCAGGCTGCGTGTCGCACCCACAGGGGTCACCCTAAAGCGGCAAGAAGGCCCCAGGGGGAAGGGAACAGGACGCCAGGCTTGAAAGGGGACTTTGAGGTAGTCCGGGGAAAAACTTCCCACGGAGGACAGTGTTTTCCCCGTAGCCCCTGCGCCAGACCCGGGAGAGCCATGCAGCCCATGGCTTTCACCCAGGGGGCGTATCGCTCCCATGAGGGACACCCCAAAGCAGCAAGAAGGCCTCCGGGGGAAGGGAACATGACGCCACGATTGAAATGTGAAGTTGAGGCAGCACGGGGAAAAAAGCAGCAGGCCAGGGTAGTCCCACGGATGACAGTGCCTTCCCGGCAGCCGCTGCGCCTGTCCTGGGAGGGTCGTGGATTCTCTGGCTTGCACCCAGGGTGGCATCGCGCCCACTGGAGGCACCCAAAGGGGAAAGAAGGCCCCAGAGGGAAGGGAACAAGACGCCAGGCTTGAAAGGGGACATTGAGGTAGCACGAGGAAAAAACTGATGGGTTGGTGTCCTCCCACGGATGACAGTCACTTCCCGGCAGCTTCTGCGCCGGAACCAGAGGGGTCGTGGGTCCCTGGCTTGCACCCAGGGTGCGTGTCTCGCCCACAGGGGGCACCCCAAAGTGGCAAGAAGGCCCCCAAAGGATGGAGACAGCACATCTGGCTTGAAGGTGGATGTTGAGATAGCCCGGGAAAAAAGCGGTGAAGCTGTGTTCCTCCCATGGACAACAATGCCTTCCCTGCAGCCCCTGCGCCGGGCCCGGGGGAGTTGTGGAGTCCCTGTCTTATACCAGGGTAGGTTTCTCGCCCATGGCGGGGGCGCATCCCAAAGCGGAAAGAAGGCCCCCGGGGAAGGGGAACAGGACGCTAGGGTTTAAATGAGATGTTGAGGCTGCCCGGGGGAAAAGCGGCGGGCCAGGGTAGTTCCACGGATGACAGTGCCTTCCTGGCAGCCCCTGCGCCTGGCCCGGGGGCGGGGGGGGGTGGTCGTGGCGTCCCTGGCTTGCAGGCAGGGTGTGCGTTTCGCCCACAGGGGCTCCCCAAAGGGGAAAGAAGGCACCCGAGGGAAAGGGACCGCACATCAGGCTTTAAGGGAGAGGTTGAGGCAGCATGGGATAAAAGCGGCGAGGCTGGGGTTCTCCCATGGATGACAGTCCCTTCCCGGCAGCCCCTGCGCCGGGCACTGGGGTGTCGTGGAGTCCCTGGCTTGCACCTAGGGTGCGCGTGTAGCCCACAGGGAACAACCCAAAGCGGCAAGAAGGCTTCTGGTGGTAGATAACAGGACGCCAGGCTTGAAAGTAGACGTTGAGGCAGTACTGGGAAAAAAGCGGCGGGCCAGGGTCCTCCTACCGACGACAGTATCTTGTAGGCAGCCCCTGCACTGTTCCCGGGGGGGTTTGTGGAGGCCCTGGCTTGCACCCAGGGTTTGTGCTGCGCCCACGTGTGGCACCTTTAAGAGGCAAGAAGGCCCCCGGTGGAAGGGAACAGACGCCAGGCTTGAAAGGGGACGTAGAGGAAGTCCGGAAAAAAAACTTCCCAGAGAGTACAGTGGCTCCCCGACAGGCCCTGCGCCGGGTCTAGAGAGGTCGTGGAATCCCTGGCTTGCACCTAGGGTGTGTGTCGCGCCCATGGGGGGCACCCCAAAGCGACAAGAAGACGCCGGGGGAAGGGAACAGGACTCCAGGCTTGAAAGCGGATGTTGAGGCAGCACAGGGAAAAAAGCGGCAGGCCAGGGTCTTCCCACGGATGACAGTGCCTCCCGGCAGCCCCTGCGCCTGTCCCGGGGGGGTCGTGGAGTCCCTGGCTTGCACCCAGGGTGCGTGTCTCTCCCACGGGGGGCACAACAAACTCGCAAGAAGGCCTTAGGGGGAAGGGAAGCAGACGCGTCTTGAAAAAAGACGTTGAGGCAGTCTGGGGAAAAACTTCCCAGGAGGCACAGTGCCTTCCCGACAGCCCCTGCGCTGGGCCCGGTGGGGTCGTGAAGTCGCTGGATTGCACCCAGGGTGCGTGTCGCCCCCACGGCGGGCACCCCAAAGCGTCAAGAATGACCCCACGGGAAGGGGAAAGCATGTCGGTCTTAAAGAGGGACGTTGAGGCAGCCCGGAGAAAAAAACAGGGAGGCTGGGGTCCTTCCACCGATGACAGTGCCTTCCCGGCATCCCATGTGCCATCTCCGGGCGGGTCGTGGAGTCCCTGGCTTTCACCCAGGGTGCGTGTATCTCCCATTGGGCCACCCCAAAGTGGCAAGAAGTCCCCCAGGGGAAGGAAACAGGGTGTTAGGCTTAAAAGGGGACATTGAGGCAGCACGGGGAATAAGGCTGTGGGTTGAAGTCCTTCTAACAATGACGCTGCCTTCCTGGCAGCCTCTACGCCCTGCCCAATAGGGTTGTGGAGTCGCTTGCTTGCACCCAGGGTGCGTGTCGCACCCCAGGGGGCACCCCAAAGCGCCAAGAAGGCCTCCGGGGGAAGGGAGTAGAACGCCAGGCGTGAAAGGTGACGTTGAGGCAGCACGAGGGAAAAAGCAGCAGGCAGCGATCGTCACACGGACGACAGTGCCTTCCCGGCAGCCCCTGCGCCAGACTCGGGGTTGTCGTGGAGTTCCTGACTTGAACCCAGGGTGCGTGTCGCGCCCACGGGGGGACACCCCAAAGCGGCAAGAATGCCCCCTGGGAAGGGAACAGGACGCCAGGCTTGAAAGGGGACTTTGAAGCAGTCCAGGAAAAAACTTCCCACGGACCACGGTGCCTTCCCGGCAGCCCCTTTGCCAGGCCCGAGGGGGTTGTTGTGTCCCAGGCTTGCACCCAGGGTTCCACGGGGGGCACCCCAAAGCGGCAAGTAGGTTCCCAGGGGAAGGGGACAGCACGTCAGGCTTGGAGGGGGACGTTGAGGCAGCCCCGGGAATAAAGAGGGGATGCTGGGGTCCTGCCACGGATAACACTGTCTTCCCGACAGCATCTGTGGTGGGCCTGGGAGCGTCATGGAGTCCTTGGCTTGCACCCAAGGTGCGTGTCTCGCCCTCGGGGGGCACCACAAAGCGGCAAGAAGGCCACCGGGGGAAGGGTATGGGACGCCAGGGTTGAAAGGGATAGTTGAGGCAGTCCGGGGAAAAACGTGGCAGGCTGGGGTCGTCCCATGGACGACAGTGCCTTCCCAGCAGCCCCTGCGTCAGGCCCGGGGTGGTCGTGGAGTCCCTGGCTTGCACCGAGGGTGCGGGTCGCACCCATGGGGGCACCCCAAAGTGGCAAGAAGGCCGCCGGGCGAACGCCACAGAAGGCCAGGCTTTAATGGGGATGCTGAGGCAGCACAGAGAGAAAAGCGGCTAGTCGGGTTCCTCCTACGGATGACAGTGCCTTCCTGGCAGTCCCTGCGCTGGGCCCGGGGGGATCGTGGAGTCCCTATCTTGCACCCAGGGTGCGTGTTTCGCCCATGGGAGGCACCCCAAAGCGGCAAGTAGGCCCCTGGGGGAAGGGGACAGCACCTCAGACTTGAAGGGGGACTTTGAGGTAGCCCGTGGAAAAAAACGGCGACGCTGAGTTTCTCCCACAAACGACAGTGCCTTCCTGGCAGCCCCTTCGCTGGGCCAGGGTGGTCCTGGAGTCCGTGGCTTGCACCCAGGGTGCGTGTCTCGCTCAAGGGGGCACCCCAAAGCGGCAAGTAGATTCCCGGGGGAAGGGAGAGCACGTCAGGCTTGAAGGGGAGGTTGAGGCGGCCCCGGGGTAAAAGTGGTGAAGCTGGGGTCCTCCCACGGATGACACCGCCTTCCTGGCAGCCTCTGCAGTGGGCCCAGAGGTGTCGTGGAGTCTCTGGCTTGCTCCCAGGTTGTGTGTCTCGCCCACGAGTGGCACCACAAAGCAGCAAGAAGGCCCCCAGGGGAAGGGTACAGGACTCCAGGGTTGAAAGGTAGAGTTGAGGCAGACCGGTGTCATCCCAAGGACAACAGTGTCTTGTCCGGTAGCCCCTGCATCGGGCCTGGGGTGGTTGTGGAGTCCCTGGCTTGCACCCGGGGTGCGTGTCGTGCCCACGATGGGCACCGCAATGCGGTAAGAAGTCCCCGAGTGGAAGGGAACAGGACGCCGAGCTTGAAAGGGGACGTTGAGGCAGTCCGGGGAAAAAATTTCCACTGAGAACAGTGCCTTCCCGGCAGCCTCTGAGTGGGACCCAGGTGGACGGTGGAGCCCCTGGCTTGGACCCAGGGTGCCTGTCTTGCTCACGGGGTGCACGTGAAAGTGGCAACAGGGCCCCCGGGGGAAGGGGACAACATGTCAGGCTTGAAGAGGGACGTTGGGCCAGCCAGAGGAAAACAGCGGCTAGGCTGTGGTCGTCCCACAGACCACAGTGCCTTCCCGGCAGCCCCTGAGCCTGGCCCAGGCGGGGGGGTTTGGAGTCCCTGTCTTGCAACAGAGTGCGTGTCTCGCCTAAGTGTGCACGCGAAAGCTGCAAGAAGGGCTCCGGGGGAAGGGAACAGGATGCCAGGCTTGAAAGGGGACTTTGAGGCAGTCCAGGGAAAAACTTTCCACGGAGGACAGTGACTTCCCGACATCCCCTGCGCCTGGCCCTGGGGGTCTTGGAGTCCCTGGTTTACACCCAGGGTGCGTGCCTCGCCCACGGGTGGCACCCCAAAGCAGCAAGAAAGCCCCGGGGGGGGAAGAACAGGATGCCAGACTTGAAAGGGGACGTTGAGGCAGCCCAGGAAAAAAAGGGGCGAGGCTGGGGTCCTTTCACGGATGACAGTGCCTTCCCTACAGCCCCTATGCCAGTCCCGGGAGGGTCGCGGAGTCCCTGTCTTGCACACAATGTGCGTGTCTCGCCCACGGGGGGCACCCCAAAGTGGCAAGAAGTCCCCCGCGGGAAGGCAACAGGACGCCAGGCTTGAATGGGGACGTTTAGGTAGCCTGGAGAAAAAAGCAGCGAGGCTGGGGTGATCCCACGAATGACAGTGCCTTACCGGCAGCCCCTTTGCCGGGCATGCGGGGGTTGTTGATTCCCTGGCTTGCACCCAGGGTGAGTGTCTTGCCCACGGCGGGCACCACAAAGCAGCAAGAAGGTTCCCGGGGGAAAGGGACAGCACGTCAGTCTTGAAGGGGGAAGTTGAGGCAGCCCCGGGGAAAAAAAGCGGGGATGCTGGGGTCCTCTCACGGACGACACTGCCTTCCCAGCAGCCTCTGCAGTGGGCCCGGGAGCGTCCTGGAGTCCCTGTCTTGCACCCCGGGTGCGTGTCTCACCCACGGGGAGCACCACAAAGCGGCAAGAAGGCCACTGGGGGAAGGGTACAGGACGCCAGGGTTGAAGGGGATAGTGGAGACAGTCCAAGGAAAAAAGTGGCGGGATGGTGTCGTCCCAAGGATGGCCACCCCTGCGCCGGGCCAGGGATGGTCGCGGAGTCCCTGGCTTGCACCCAGGTTGTGTGTCTCGCCCACAGGGGGCACCCCAAAGCAGCACGAAGGCCTCCAGGGGAAGGGAAGAGGACGCCAGGCTTGGAAGGTGACGTTGAGGCAGCAGGGGGTAAAAAGTGGCGGGCCGGGCCCTCCCACGGATGACAGTGCCTTCCCGGAAGCCGCTGCGCAGGGCCCGGCGTGTTTGTGGAGTCTCTGGCTTGCACCCAGAATCGTGCGGCGCCCACGACGGGCACCCCAAAGCGGCAAGATATCCCCCGCTGGAAGGGAACAGGATGCCAGGCTTGAAAGGAGAAGTTGAGCCAGTCCGGGGAAAAAAATCCCATGGAGAACAGTGTCTTCCCGGCAGTCTCTTTGCCGGGTTCGGTCGTGGAGTCCCTGGCTTGCACCCAGAGTGCGTGTCTTTAAAGCGGGGCATCCTGTTACCATTCTCCGGGGGAATTCTTGCCGCCATGGGGTGCCCCCTGAGGGCGAGACACGCACCCTGTGTGCAAGACAGGGACTCCACGACCCCCCCAACCACGAGTCTGCCGCAGGGGCTGCCGGGAAGGCACTGTCCTCCCTGGGAAGTTTTTCCACAGACTGCCTCAACAACCCCTTTAAAGCCAGGCATCCTGTTCCCATCGCCCAGTGCCCCCGTGGGCGAGACAAGCACCCTGGGTGCAAGTCAGAGAATCCTCGCCTGTGGCCTGGGTCTCTCTTGTCCTTGGGACGGGAGTTTACACGAAGTCGGTGGCAATGGGAATCTGGGTTCACAAGGACGTTTTCCTGGTAGCTGGCAAAGGCAATGTCCTTCCCTGGAAAAAGCAGCCCATGGGTTCTGGAGGGGGTCTTGGCTGGCGTCTGTGGGACCCTCTACCCCTGCCTGCAACTTCCCCAGGTTTGGACGTTTGCGGCGGCACCAGATGAGTGAATTGAATTACCTGGGCTTTCCTGGAGCAGGAAGACAACCAGGATGGCAGGGAACCTGTGCCTGCGCCTTTGGGGTCTGGTCCTGGCCTGCCCCGCCCTGCCTAGAGTTGGGGACCTGGTGGAGCTGCAGCAAGGCGGAAGAGGTGGGATGCTGCTGCCTGGCGGTGCTGCAGCGGTGGACCCCCACGAGGAGGCCCTGGGGTGCGGTAGGGAAAAGGGGTAGCAGAGTCAGGGGGTGGTTGGGAAGCAGGGCGACAAAAGGGAGAAAGACGGAGGGAGCGGGAAGCCAAAAGCCTACAGCACCCGGTATTCCCAGGCGGTCTCCCTTCCAAGCACTGAACCAGGCCCCACCCTGCTTAGCTTCACAGACCAGAAGAAATTAGGCATCTTCAGGGCACTGCCATAGACACAGGCAGTGATACCTAGCTGACACAAGAACCTGGCTCAGCCATGCCCGCCCGACTCCAGGCGTCACTGCCACTCCAGGGCCGCAGGGCTCGGATTGGGATACCCCTGAGCCACTCGCCTGCTGCTGGGCTGCTCTCCCACTCCATGCCGGAGCACTGTAGGCTGCCGCGCTGCGCCTTCCGCCGGCCTCCAAGAGCCTCCCGCCATCACAGGCAAGGCCACGCACTGGACCACCGCGGCGCCGCCCTGCTGTTGAGTGGGGAAGCCAGAGGTTTCCATCCCCTGCCCAGACTTCGGGTTCTCTGGGCAGCCTCCATTCCTCCGACGCTCCAGGGCTTCCCCAGGCTACTGAGCTCCCAAGCTTCCACCACATCGGACCTGTTCAGGACAGTTTGTGCTCCCAGGCGTCAGGGCCCTGGGCCCACGGTCCTGGGATACCCTCCTGTCCTCCTCCTTGCCGCAGAGGGATTATTTTTGTTCCCTCGCCGCCCCTCCTGCAAGGCCCCCTCTTGCCTCACCCACCCAGAGCTGCTAGGGCTGCTCAGGGCTGAACCGCCGGCCTAGCCCCAGGGACCCTTTCTCTCACAACGTCCCTAACAGCGTCGCTTGTCCCGACAAGGACGTGACCCACGGCCAAATGAGTTGGGGGAGCTGCTTTGCCCCGCGCTGCCACTAGAGCTGGCCGACTGATCCCGGGAGAGAGAGGCTGATGGACAGCCAGACACACCTCACCAGCACCACGAGCAAACCCACCCCTACACCCACAGACACACATGGGTGCACGCGCGTGGGCACACAGACACACACACACACACACACACAGATACACAAAGATACAGATAGACACCTTGAAGGAGAGCAAGGGAAAGAGGGATGGAGAGATAGAAACTGAGGGAGAGAGACAGCGATAAAGAGAGAGACAGGGAGGAAAGAGAGAGAGAAGGTGACAGAGAGATGGAGGGGGAAGAAGAGAAACAGAGAGAGGGTGAGAGAGCTAGAGAGCCAGAGCGATAGAGCCTGGGAGAGGAAGCGCTCTGCTCTGGTAGACAGGGCTCATTCAAGCAGGCTGGGGTAGGGTGGAGGGTGATTGAGCCAGGCCAGAACAGGGGGTCAGGGCCCTGTTCTGCAAGAGGACCAACAGAACTCTGAGACGTATTTTTTCATAGATTGGTTGGTTGCTTTGGGGGTGCGTTTCATAGGGTCCTCCTTTTGTTGGCTACTCCCTGTCTTCTTGGTGTGGTGGGCCCCGAGATTTGTAGAGTGCGTCCGTCCGTGTGGTGGGAGCCATGGCATGGAGCGTGCTGACGGGGCCCGAGGCCTGGGTCTCTCTCGTGTCCTCGGGACTGGAGTTTACACGAAGTCGGTGGCAATAGGAATTGGGGTGCACAGGGACAGATTTCCTCGTGACTGGTGACGGCAGTGTCCTTCCCCTGGGGAAAGCAGCTCATAGGTCCTGGAGCAGTGGTTTTGGCTGCCGTCTGTGGGACCCTCTGCCCCTGGCCGCCACTTCCCCTGGCTTGAGCTGTTGCATGGAGCCTGATGAGTAAATTGAATTGCCTGGGCGTCCCGGGAGCGTGAAGACACCGGGCACCTTAGGGAACATGTACCGCCCCCGCCCCGGCTGGAGCTGGGCACCTGGTGGGGCTGCAGCAAGGCGGAAGATGTGGGATCCTGTTGCCTGGTGGTGCTGCAGCGGTGGACTCCCACGAGGAGGTCCCAGGCTGCTTCGGGGCTGCAGGTGACGGTAAAAGCGGGAGCAGAATTAGGGGAAGGTCGTGAAGCACGGCGACAAAAGGTGGAAAGAGGGAGGGCGAAGCCAAACCCTACAGCACCCAGCATTCCCAGGCGGCCTCCCATCCGAGTACTAACCAGGACCGACCCTGCTTAACTTCCGAGGTCAGATGAGATCGGGCAGGGTGATATGGCTGTAGGCGCTGGCAGTGGCGCCTGGATGCCGCAAGAGCCCGGCACTGCCACGCCCGCCGGACTCCAGGCATCATCGCCACCCCGGGGCTGCGGGGCTTGGATCCGGGATCCCCGAGCCGGCCGAGCTGCTCTCTCCCTCTATTCCCCCGAGCACTGCTGGCCACCACTCTGTGCCTTCCTCCTGCCTCCCAGAGCCTCCCTCCGTCGCCGGCTGCCGGGCCACGCGCAGGACCGCCATGGTGCCGCCCTGCTGTTGCTCTGGGGCGCCAGAGGCCTCCGTCCCCTGCCCAGGCTTAGGGGTCTACGGGCGATCTCCCTTCTGGCGATGCTCCAGGCCTTCACCCGGCTCCCGAGCTTCCACAACATCAGGCCCGCTCAGGACGGGTGTGCTCATCCCTTCACTTTTTAACTTTTTGTTGTTTCTATTTATATTTTTTTGTACTATGTCTTGAAACGTTCTTGTAGTTATTACTCTTGATTGGTTTATTATTTAGTCTTCCTACATAGAATGAGTTTACACACCACAGCTATAGTGTTATAATATTCTGTTTTGTTTTGTATAGTTACTATTATCGATGACGATTTTTTTACCTTCAGTTGATTATTTATTGCTCATTAATGTCCTTCCTGACTGAAGTACTCCCTTTAGCATTCCTTGTAGGACAGGTGTGGTATTGAAATCCTTCAGCTTTTGTTTGTCTGGAAAAGTCAGTATTCTTTTTATTTGAAGAACATTTTCACTGTATATGCTATCCTAAGGTAAAGGTTCTTTTCCTTTAGTGCTTTAAATATTTATTGCTTCTTTCTCCTGGCCGATAGGGTTTCCAATGTAAAGTCTGCTGCCAGATGTGTTGGAGCTCCCCTGTATGTTATTTGCTTCTTTTCTTTTACTTTTGTAGAACTTTTCTTTTCTTTGACTTTTTGAAGATTGGTTATTGAATGCTTTGAAGTAGTCTTTTTTGGGTTAAATCTGCTTAATGTTCTATAACATTTTTTAGTTGGATTTGGATATCTTTCTCTAGGTTTGGAAAGTTTTCTGTTATTATCCCTTTAAATAAATTTTTCTACCCCTGTCTCTTTCTCTACATCTTCTTTAAAACCAATAACTCTTAGACCTGTCTTTGTGAGGCTATTTTCTAGATCCTGTAGGCATTATTTGTTGTTTTTATTCTTTTTCTTTTGTCTCAAGCCTGTCTTCAAGTTCACTATTTCTTCTGCTTGATCCATTCTGCTATTAAATGGCTCTAATGCATTATTCAGCATGCCAATTGCATTTTTCAGCTCCTGAATTTTTGCTTAATTTGTTGTAACTATTTCAATCTCTTTGTTGAGTTTAGCTGATAAAATTTGGAATTTCTTTACTTTGTTATCTTAAATTTCTGAGTTTTTTTTTTTTTTAATACAGCTATTTTGAATTCTGTCTGAAAGATTACATATCTCTTTTTCTCCAGGATTTGTCCCTGGTGCCTTGTTTAGTTCACTTGGTGAGGTCATATTTTCTTGGATGGTGTTGTTAGTAGATGTTCTTCAGTGTCTGGACATTAAAATTTTGGCATGCAGCATCATATAAGAGGTTAAAAAAAAGAATTTTTTTTTTTTAAAAGGTGAGTATTTATTGTAGTATTCATTGTCTGGGCTTATTCATAGCCATCTTTCTTGGGAAGGATTTCCACATATTTGAAAAGGCTTGTGTTGTGATCTAAGCCATACCTGCTTTGGGAGGCACCTTATACCCAATAATTCTGTAATTCTTGCAGACTTATAGAAGTACCACCTTGACAGTCTTGGACAAGATCCAGGAGAATTTTCTGGATTACTAGCCAGAGACCCTTGTTCTCTAACCTTATTTTCCCTCAAAGATACAGTAGTCTTTCTCTATATTCTAAGCCACCTAAAATTGGGAGTAGAATGACACAAACACCCCTGGCCACCACCACTATGACTGCCCTGGATCAGATCTAAAGCTAGCACAGCACTGGGTCTTGCTCAAGTTCTGCCGCATGCACTTTCTGATGACTACCTATGTTCACTCAAGGCCTTTGGTCTCTACAATTAGCAGGTGGCAAAGCCAGCTACATCTGGGTTCTTTCCTTCAGGGCACCTGACATTCTATTGCATTCCAGCGGAGCTAGCATTGAAATCACAAGACACAGTCCTTCCTATTCCTCCTTTCCTTTTCCAAAGGCAGAGTAACTACCAGCAACCCAGGACACAAGGAATACTGCCAGGCTACCACCAATGTTCCTTTAAGGCCCAAAGCCTCTTTTCAGGTTGTGATGAATGTTGCCTGGCCTGGGACTTGCCATTTTCAGGCCAGTGGGCTCCCCACTGGCCCTGGGCAGGTTCATACATGCCAACCAAGAATCAAGTCCT
The DNA here is from genome assembly GCF_000001405.40 of Homo sapiens. Classification (NCBI taxonomy): domain Eukaryota; kingdom Metazoa; phylum Chordata; class Mammalia; order Primates; family Hominidae; genus Homo; species Homo sapiens. Next base: position 38,165,882 of record NC_000012.12, read on the forward strand.
AGAATCAGGGATTCCAAAAGCTTTCTTGGTGCTCTACGCTCCTCTGGCCTTGCTGGTACTTAAGTGGCAAGACGAAGTCCCCTTTACTTTTCCCTCTGCTTTTCCCAAGCAAAGGGAGTTTTGCCCTTTAGCCACCACAGCTTGTAATGAGCTGAGTCTCACCTAAATCTAGTAAGTCTATGAGGCTCACCCAAGGCTCTTGATATAGTACCTGGGTATGGCTGCTTGTTATTCAGGGCCCAAAAGTTGTTAAGTTTGCAGGTGATAAATGCTGCCAGCACTGGGTTCTTTCCTTTAAGGCAGCAGGTTTCCTTCTGGCCTGGGTGTGTCTAGGAATGTCCAGGAGCCAGAGCCTGGAAAGGAGGCCTCAGGACTCTGACCAGTGAGCTATCTTGCTGTGGCTGAGCTGGTAGCCAGGATGGAAAACAAAGTCCTCCCTAATCTTTTCCTCCTCTCCTCAAGCAGAAGGATGGTGTCCCTTTTGGAGCCATGAGCTGTGCAGACTGGTATTAGGGGAGTGATAGTGCCAGAACTCCTTTGGCTGCCCCAGCTGCTGTCTCAGTATGTTGCATGCCCTCCCTACCCCAGTTTACTGTTCCTGGGCCCAGATCAGCCCTAGGCCTCACCTAAGATTTGCAGTCCTGATGGCCTATGCTGCCTTTCAAATTTTCTTAGATACACAGAGCGCTGGAGCCCTCAGTTGCCAGGTTTCCAAACGCTCAAGTTCCAACCACTGGAATCTGATTCCCCTCTGGCTAGGGCTGGTTTAAATGATCCCTCTGTGGATGGGCATTGACTGCATTCGGTCTGGTTTTCCTTTCTGCTCTAACAGGACAGCACAGGGTTCGATGCCTCACAATTGCTGTGTTCTCCCTCCTGCAGAGCCCAGAGTTGATCTCTGCACCACTCTATCACTGCTGGGGGTGAGGAAATGGTGGAACCGGTGATTCAGGACTGTTTTTTCTCTCTTCTCAGTGCCTCTTTCAGTGATATGAAGTTAAAACCAGGTATTTTGAGTACTCACCTGATTTTTGGTTCTTATGAAAGTATTTTCTATGTAGATATTAATAGTTGTTCATCTGGTGTCCTTGCAGGATGGAAGATCAGTGGAGCCTTCTTTCTGCCATCTTGCTTTACCCTCACACCCAAGAATCAGAATGCAGAACTTTTAATCAGAAAAGCATTCAGAACTCAGGAAGGACATGGAAGACATCCTGGTTCTCCACGTTTAACATTGGACTGTTTCTTCAACTTAGGTGCATAGCACTGACACTAATCAGGGATTATCACCGATAATTTGACTTGGACTATGGAGTTCATTCAAATACTTTATCTAGACAATTTAAGTACTGGCTTATTTGTCATGAAAATCTGACAAAGTAATTTCTTGGTATTCAGTTGATTTTTACTCTGTTTGGGTTAGCAGTTTATAAACCAGTCAGTCTCTTCATTAAAGTTCTGGGAATTCTTACTCGTTCAAATGATATGATTCTAAAGTTCTCAAAAATCTGTATTCTAGAATTCTTCTCAGGACCTTTTCCCTCCTTTCATGAAACTCCTTAAAGATACAGTATTCTATAATTTTGCAAGCTTGTACAGTTTTCAGAAACTGCCTCAGAATTAAGCAATTTACAGTGGAAATGTTTTTAAATTGTCATAGACACAATTGACAAGAAAATTTTATTATTTACAGGCGTGAGCCACCACACCCAGCCTCTGAAGTTAATTTAATAAAATTTTATGAATAAATTTATCAAATGTGTCATCTTTTAATCCCAGATCTTTGTGAACCTATGCTTTGCATTTCCCCCAGCTTTCTATATTTACCTAGTTTTATCTATTTTTTACTTGTACAATTTGAAACCTTTAAGTAACTTCAAACAAAAAAAAATTAAAACATATGTTTACGCCTTTATAAGTTTTCTCATCAAAAGTATATCTTCACAAGCCTGTAATCCCAGCACTTTGGGAGGCCAAGGCGGGTGCATCACTTGAGGTCAGGGGTTCGAGGCCAGCCTGGCCAACATAGTGAAACCCCGTCTCTACTAAAAATACAAAAATTAGCCCGGCATGGTGGTGAGGACCTGTAATCCCAGCTACTTGGGAGGCTGAGGCAGGTGAATCACTTGAACTCGGGAGGTGGAGGTTGCAGTGAGCTGAGATCATGCCACTGCATGCCAGCCTGGGCAACAGAACAGGACTCGGTCTAAAAATAAATAATAAAAAAAGAAGGATATCTTGCTTTTTTATACACTCTGTATACAGAATTGTTTCTCTCATATCTAGTAATTAAGTCTTAGTAACCCCAATTTTCAGTGAAAATCCTAAAAAGTGATTTTCTATTGTCTTACAACAGTATTTTTAGATAAAAACCATTTTATAATTTTGAAGAAATATAGTTCTTCAAATTATTGTTTATTAACAGAACTAAAGATATTTAAGTTTTCTATACCATATACAAGTAATATGTCATGGTATATAGAACTAATTTTTAATGGTGAATATTTCATTATTTTAGCTTACAAATGACTCAAGACATTTTATAATTATCTATTACTTAATTTAACATGAAGTTAAGGTTTTAAATTACTGAACAGAATTTTGGAACTGTGACACAGGTAGCATCCCTAATGTCTTCCCTCAGTAATTCTAGGTCCCAAGTAGCCACATGGCACCCAGGAAAACTATGAAGATCACGGCCTGCCTGAGTCCATTAGGACTAAAGACAGTGCTGTGAAGGCTATACCTGGAGGAACCAATCCTTCCTAAAATAGGCAGGAAGCAAAATAGGAAAAGCATAGAAAGAAGGGGCCAATTGGGCTTGATTCTGGCTTGTAACTGCTGGTCTAGACACTGAGAACATGTCTCCAGACTTCATCGTGGACACCTATCAAGACCCCCTGAATCCAGAAACTCTCAACAAAAGACATAGGCTCACAGTTAAATCAAGCAAGTATCTAATTATATTTAACTGATAATTGTAAAGCTATTTCTATTTTACTAACGATTTAAGAACTAGCTTTATTTACAAAATATCACATACACGTAACACATATAGACATAAAAACACACAGGAGCAGATCTTATAGCTTTCATAAAGGATTTTAAATTTTTTTTATTTTAGGTTCAGGGGTACATGTGAAGGTTTGTTACATAGATAAACTCGTATCACAGGGGCTTGTTATACAGATTATTTTATAAACCAGGTATTAAGCCTGGTACCGCATAGTTATCTTTTCTGTTGCTCTCCCTCCTCCCACCCTCCCCCATCAAGTAGACCCCAATGTCTGTTGTTTCCTTCTTTGTGTGCATAAGTTCTCATTATTTCGCTCCCTCTTATAAGTGAGAACACATAGTTGCATAGTATTCCATGGTGCATATGTGTGTTCTGTGTGGGAAATGTGTGAGGAGAGAAGAAAAGAAACACACAATACTTTTAAGGGTAAACAGACTTTATCCCGAGTATATGGCAATACAGATATAATAAGCAAATCATCTAATAAACCAATGATATAATAAACAAATTGCAATGGGAAGGGGAGAAGGGAAAAGACATGTATATAATAAATATACATATATGTTTGTGTGTGTATGTATGATGCGTGTGTGTGTGTGTGTGTGTATATATATATATATATATATATATATATATATATAAAATACATGTGTATATATATATAGTCACCAGATGATGAAGGATTCATCACCAGATGGGGAAGCAACTACCTGGGCTCCAGAGTTGGCCACTAGTCTGTGCACAGATGAACAGAGGTCCCATGAAACTTCAGCACGGTCTGGGAAACTAGCTCTTTTTGTAACAAGTTGTTCGACATGAGGCCCAGTCATGAGGGCCCTTCTTGACTGGGCTCAAGGAATTCAAAATGGTCATCAAAAGCATATCTTCACAAGCCTGTATTTCCAACACTTTGGGAGGCCAAGGCTGGTGCATCACTTGAGGTCAGGGGTTCGAGACCAGCCTGGCCAACATGGTAAAACCCCATCTCTATTAAAAATACAAAAATTAGCCCAGCGTGGTGGTGCAATTGTTTTTGCAATTGTCTGTTGTTTTTCAATAACTATTTCTCTGAAACAGTGCTGAATGAATGCCTCAAGGGGCTCACACAACTCGTTCCAGGTCTTAGTGACCATTTTTTAAAAATTTATTTTATTATTATTATACTTTAAGTTTTAGGGTACATGTGCACAACGTGACCATTGGTTGTGTCCATGTTCAATTGAGTTCAAATTTAATGTTTAACTTTTCCTCCATAATGTCTCACATTATCTTTATTCAGTCTGTCATCAATGGGCATTTAGGTTGATTCCATGTCTTTACCACTGTAATAGTGCTGCAATAAACATGTATGTGCTTGTGTCTTTATGATAGAACAATTTATATACATCTGGGTATATGCCCAGTAATGAGATTGCTGGGTCAAGTGATGGTTCTGCTTTTAGCTCTTTCGAGGAATTACCATACTGCTTTCCACAATGGTGGAACCAGTGTACTCTCCAACCAACAGTGTATGTGTTGTCTTTCTCCACAACCTTGCCAGCATCTGTTATTTTTTGACTTTTTAATAGTAGACATTCTGACTGGTGCAAGATGGTGTCTCACTGTGCCTTTGATTTGCATTTCTCTAATGATCAGTGATATTGAGCTTTGTATTCTATGGTTGTTGGTCACATGTATATATTCTTTTGAAAAGTGTTCATGTCTTTTGCCAACTTTTTAAATTATTTTTTATTTCCATAGGTTTTGGGGCAACAGGTGGTATTTGGTAACATTAGTAAGTTCTTTATCGGTGATTTGTAAAATTTTGGTACATCCATCACCTCATCAGTATACACTGAACCCAATTTGTAGCCTTTTATCCCTCGCCCCCTTTACCCCTTTCCCCGTGAGTCCCCAAAGTCCACTGTGTTATTCTTATGCCTTTGCATCCTTATAGCTTAGCTCCCTAAGTGAGAATATATGATGTTTGGTTTTCCATTCCTGAGTTACTTCACTTAAATTAATAGTCTTCAATCCCATCCAGGTTGCTGCAATTGCTATTAATTCATTTCTTTTTATGGCTGAATAGTATTCCATCCTACATATATACCACAGTTTCTTTATCCACTCATTGACTGATGGGCATTTGGATTGGTTCTACATCTTTGCAACTGCAAATTGTGCTGCTATAAATACGTGTGTGCAGGTATCTTTTTTGCATAATAACTTCTTTTTTCCTCTGGGTACACAGCCAGTAGTGGGATTGAGGGATCAAATGGTACTTCTACTTTTAGTTCTTTAAGGAATCTCCACACTGTTTTCCATAGTGATTGTTCTACTTTACGTTCCCACCAGCAGTGTAGAAGTGTTCCCTTTTCACCACATTCACACCAACATCTATTATGTTTTTATTTTTTGATTATGACCATTCTTGTGGGAGTAAGGTGGTATCGCATCATGGTTGTAATTTGCATTTCCCTGATTATTAGTGATGTTGAGCATTTTTTTCATATGTTTTTTGGCTATTTGTATATCTTCTAAGAATTGTGTATGACCATACTGCCAAAAGCAATCTACAAATTCAATGCAATTGCCATCAAAATACCACTATCATTCTTCACATAACTACAAACAACAATTCTAAAATTCATATGGAACCAAAAAAGAGCCTGCATAGCCAAAGCAATACTAAGCAAAAAGAACAAATCAGAAGGCATCACATTACCTGATTTCAAACTATATCATAAGACCATAATCACAAAAACAGCATGGTTCTTGTATAAAAATAGGCACATAGACAAATGGAACATAATAGAGAACCCAGAAATTAATCCAAATATTTACAGCCATCTGATCTTTCACAAAGCAAACAAAAACAAAGTGGGGAAAGTACACCCTACTCAACAAATCGTGCTGGGATAATTGGCAAGCCACATGTAGGAGATTGAAACTAGATCATCATATCTCATCTTGTACAAAAATCAACATGAGACAGATCAAGAACTTAAATCTAAGACCTGAAACTATAAAAATTCTAGAAGATGACATCGAAAAAAACCTTCTAGACATTGGCTTAGGCAAGGATTTCATGACCAAGAACCCAAAAGCAAATGCAAGAAAAACAAAGATAAATAGATGGGATTTAATTAAACTAAAGGCTTTTTCACAACAAAAGGAACAGTCAGGAGAGTAAACAGACAATCCATAGAATGGGAGAAAATCTTCACAATCTGTATATCTGACAAAGGACTAATATCCAGAATCTACAACAAGCTCAAACAAATTAGCAAGAAAAAAACAAACAATCCCAAAAAAAAGTAGGCGAAGGACATGAATAGACAATTCTTTGGCCACTTTTTATTAGGGTTGTTATTCTCTTGTAAATTTATTTAAGTTCCCTATGTTGAATATTAGACTCAGATACATAGTTTGTAAATATGTTTTCTTATTCTGTAGGTTTTCTCTTCACTCTATCGATAATTTCTTTTGCTGAGCAGAAGCTATTAAGTTTAATCAGATCCCACTTGTCAATATTTGCATTTGTTGTAATTGTTTTTGGCAACTTTATCATGAAATCTTTGCCTATTTTTATGTCCAGGATGGTATTGCCTAGGTTATCTTCCAGGACTTTTATAGTTCTGGGTTTTACATTTAAGTATTTAATCCATCTTGAGTTGATTTTTGTATATAGTGTAAGGAAGAAGTCCAGCTTCAATCTTCTGCATATGGCTAGGCAGTTATCCTAGCACCATTTAGCACCATTTAGCACCATTTATTGAATAGGGAGACTTTTCCTTATTGCTTGTTTTTGCCAGCTTTGTCAAACATTATATAGTTGGAGGTGTGTGGTCTTATTTCTGGGATCTCTACTCTGTTCCATTGGTGTGTGTGTCTGTTTTTGTACCAGTACCATGCTGTTTTAGTTACAGTAGTGCTATAGCATGGTTTGAAGTCAGGTAATGTGATGCCTCAAGCTTTGTTCTTTTTGCTTAGGATTGCCTTGGCTACTTAGATTCTTTCTTGGTTCCATATAAATTTTTAAATAGATTTTCTAGTTTCGTGAAGCATGTCATTTGTACTTTAATAGGAATAGCTTTGAGCAGCATGGCCATTTAAATGATATTAGTTCTTTCTGTCCATTAACATGGAATAATTTTTCATTTGTTTGCGTCTTATCTGACTTCTTTGAGTAGTGTTTTGTAATTTTTTTTTTTTTTTTTTTTTGAGACGGAGTCTAGCTCTGTAATTTTCATTGTAGAGATCTTTCACCTCCCTGGTTAGCTGTATTCCTAGGTATTTTATTCTTTTTGTGGAAATTGTGAATAAAATTGCCTTTCTGATTTGTCTCTCAGTTTGGCTCTTCTTGGTATATAGGAATGCTGGCAAATTTTGTACGTTGATTTTGTATACTGAAACCATGTGGAAGTTGTTTATCAGCTTAAGGAACATTTTGGGTCACAAGTATAGGGTTTAGATAGAGAATTATGTTGTCTGCAAACAGAGGTAGTTGGACATCTCTTTCTATTTAAATACCCTATATTTCTTTTTTTTTTTAATACCCTTTATTTCTTTCTCTTGTCTGATTGCTCCAGCAAAGATTTCTAATACTACGTTGAATAGGAGTGGTGAGAGAGGGCATCCTTGTCTTGTGTGGGTTTCCAGGAGAATGCTTCCAGATTTTGCCCATTTAGTATAATGTTGGCTGTGAGTTTGTCATAGGTGGCCTTTATTATTTTGAGGTATGTTCCTTCAATACCTCATTTATTGAGAGTTTTTAACATGAAACATGTTGAATTCTACTGAAAGCCTTTTCAGCATCGATTGAGACAATCATGTGGTTCTTGTCTTTAGTTTTATTTATGTTATGAATCACATTTTATTGATTTGCCCATGATGGACCAACCTTCCATTCCAGGGGAGAAGCCTATGTTACTGTGGTGGTGAATTACCCTTTTGATGTGCTGCTGGATTCGGTTTGCAAGGATTTTGTTGTGGATTATTGAATGGATGTTCATCAAGGATACCGGCCTGAAGCTTTCCTTTTTTGTTGTGTCACTGCCAGGCTTTGTTATCAGGATGATGCTGGCCTCGTAGAACAAGTTGGGAAGAAGTCCCTCCTCCACTATTACTTGAAATAGTTTTAGTAGGAATGGTACTAGCTTTTCTTTGTACATCTGTTAAAACCTTACTGTTAATCTCTCAGGTTCTGGGCTTTTTTTTTCTTGGTTGTTAGGCTGTTTATTACTGATTCAATTTTTGGAGCTCATTATTGGTTTGTTCAGAGACTGAGTTTCTTCCTGGTTCAGTCTTGAGAGGGTGTATGTGTCCAGGAATTTATTTGTCTCTTCTAGGGCTTCTAGTTTGTGTAGAGTTGTTCGTAGTAGTTGTTCATAGTAGAGTTGTTCATAGAGTAGTTGTTGATTGTTATTTTTATTTCTGTGGGGTCAGTGGTAACATTACCTTCATCATTTATAATTGTGTTTACTTGAGTCTTCTCTCTTTTCTTCTTTATTAGTCTAGTGACTATCTTATTAATTTTTTCAAAAAACTTTGATTAAGTGATCATTTGAACAGTTTTTTATGTCTCAATTTCTTTCAATTCAGCTCTTATTTTAGTTATTTCTTGTCTTCTGCAAACTTTGTGGTTGATTTCTTCTTGCTTTTCTAATTCTTTCAGTTGTGATGTTAGGTTGTTAATATGAGATCTTTCTAACTTTTTGATGTGGGCATTACTTCTTACACCCTACCCTAACTTTTCTCCTTCTCCTAGAAAACTTGGAACCATGCTTTCTAAACCAATTCAAACTTTCTCAGTGAATCAACCTGATCTCCCTGAGGCAAAGTTAGCAATTTTCCATTACACATGTTTCTCTTTCTCTGTAATAATATCTAATGCAACAATTTAAGTGTTTCATTCCCTCCTGGATATGCAGGGAACTCCTTTTGGCTGAGACCAAGACTTAAAACTTTGTTCTTTCAATATTAATGAAGATCTATTTAGAAAGTCTCCATTTTTACAGAAAAGATATATAAATACCAATGAAAATAAATATAAAATTATATGACATACAATTATATTGTGGAAAGATTGAATATATAAGTGAAGTAAGCTCTAAGAAAAAAAAAGATGATATAAAATGATACATAAATGAAAAACCTGGGCTGCTATAGCATAATTTATGTACGAGTAAAGTGTGTACATTGTAGAAGTGGCAGGAAAACTGCATACAGAGTGAGACCTGACCAAAAGCTTCAAGAAAGGTCAGATCTCTGTATGGAGATTGGTAGGGGAGAAAAGGAGAGTCCAGAAAAATATAAATTGTTTGATCTATATCCTTAAAAGAGATTAAAGTGGACTCAGGAAAACATGGTCCACTTTAGGAGGAGGACACATGTTCCATGCTGGCCAAACCTCAGAGCATCCCTACCTTCTCCAGGAGGAAAGGGGAGGAAAAGGAGCAGGCAGACAGCAGTATGGCTAGGTCAGCACAGGGCACCCAGGCCAAGCCAGGTGGGCTCCATTGTACAGGCAGTGAGGAGCCACTGCAGGGTGGGCTTTATTCATTATTTTGTTTTCTTTAGTAACTAAGACACATGATCAAAGTTGACCTTTTTAAGTATTGCTGCAGCTGAACACAGGATGGATAAAATCGGTGTTTAAAAAATTATGTTGTATAGAACACTAGCCCCAGTGAGATGTTAGTGGAACACACAGGCGCACACGCACACACGCACACGCACAAATGCACACACTCACACTGAGCCCAGATTATTCTGGCCAATGCTGAGGTAAGTAAACTAAAAGAAACATCTTTAGTGCTGGACACCTCAGAACCTGGAGTGTGATTATATGACTCATAAAACAGCAAGGTTAAGACAGAGCATGTGATTTTTTTTTTCCAGAAATGTTGAAACACTTTTGTTTCCTTGGCTTCACTGTCACCTTCTTCCTCCTAGTTCCCCAGCAACCTCTTTGGCTGCTCCTTCTTGGTTTCCATCTTGACAACCTGCTGCTGCTCACCCATTCTCTATTCATTCCCCATGGATTTCTCAGGTGTGTTTCTATTCCTGCAGATCTTTCCTTGTTTTTCCTGACGCCTCTCCTTGTCTGACCCTCCCCAGTTCTAAGGCACATATTCCAGCTGTGTGCGATTTGGCATCCTGGGATGCTCCCAGAGTGTTTTCTGCCATACTCCATCAGGTTTTCTCCCCTAGACTCTGTGAGGGCAGCAGCCTTGTCTCCACTGTGGCTTCAATACTCAGCACATAACACAGAAGCTGATTCCACATTTCCTGGACCAACTGAGACTAAATTTATGTTCCTCCAGATCTTAAAAAGTTACAATAATAAACATAGCACAGTAGTCAAAAAAAGTCTCTTCAGTCAGGAGTTCTCCATATATGCACAATAGTTTGAAGTCATTATGAGGCAAAGTTAAACAGAAACTATCACAAAGTTCCCTAAGATAAATTATTTTGCTTTAATCTTCAATTCCTCATGTGAGATAATCAAGACCATGTGTTATTGTAAATATTTGTAGCTTACAACATAACAACCTGATTTTTATTGTTTGAAATAACCAAAATATAAATCAGTTAACTAAAAAATGCACAAATAATCCTTTCAAATAAAATTCTGCCTAAATTTTACATTATTCATATGTTCAAATGATAATGAGCTCATAGGCTTTTCCAGTACCTCAGTCAAAACATTGTACTGATTCCAGCTATGGGAATAGTATGTGAGAGTTATGTTACAGATGTGGAAAAGGTACATACGTGACATTGGCCTTTGCACTACTTTGCCCTTTTGGGTCAGGAAAAAGCTGTTCCCTTAAAATTCTAAAATCTCTTCTGTCAGGTCTGAAGGGTAGGTGGGAAACACTGTTTTTAAAATTTTAGCCACAGATGTTTTATTCCTTGCTGAAAGCAGTGAATAGATAAAGGCCACCAGAAGAGCCTCTAATGTTGCATCAGAAGTGTGCCTGAGAGCACTTCCTGAAACACTGCCTTATCTCTGCCTAAAATCACCTTAGGTAGGAAAGTCAAAACTTAGCAGGCTGAGGAAATCCAAGGGGATCACTGAGCTCTGAGGCTTATGGGAGAAGAGAGAGAGGTCTAAGACTTTTTGTGTATAAATTTATGGGTTACATGTTTACTCTGTGTCTGGCTTGTTTCACTTACAATAATGGCCTCCAGTTCCATCCATGTGTCTCCAGAAGTTATGATTTTATTTTTTATGCCTGAATAGTATTTCATTGTGTATATTTTCTACATTTTCTTTCTCCAATCATCTGTTGATGGACATTTAGTTTGATTTATATCAGTTCTACTGTGAATAGTGTTGCAACAAACATACAAGTACAGGTATCTTTCTGATACATTGATTACTTTTCCTTTTTGTAGATACCCAGTGGTGGAGTTGCTGGATCAGATAGAGCCAATTGATGATCAGTAATGGTGGCCAATGATCAACTAGAAACAAAATACTTAGCAGGGCCTGAAAACACCAAAACTCTGAGACAACTGACCTTCAAAAACTTCAACCGCCATGAGTGAAATATCCAAACACATTTATCCACCATTCAAAGACCCTTTATTGCCTGTCCTCTGTGCATCTCAGAATTCTCTTTTTACCACACTGTCTATATACTGCATTAGCCATTTATATGAAACTCCAAGGCATCTTATACTACATATTCAACCATGTATCCCTAGTACCTAGCACAGTCCTGGCATATAGTTTGCTACTAAACATTTGCAGAATTAAGTAATTATCTTGTATCCAGTTTCCAAGTTTTAAGGTGATTTCTCACTAACAATAAAGTATTACAGTTCACAAATAATCTACTTCCTTTTTTACAAATGGGATAGATTTTAATCTTATCCCCTAATAACATTATTTTCATTTACTTCCAACTAAATATACTGTCCTAAGACAGCAATAAGAAAGAGCGCTAAAGCTGGAGCATGAAGAATTGTACATGGTCCACACTGTGGCCTGACGTGCACTGCTCACCTGAGCTTCATCTGTTTGGTATGTCAGGGAAGGTAAACAGGGTGAGAGTGGCCTCAACAGAGGACCCCAGATCTCTGGCTTCCCCATCTGGCAAGTACACCTCTGTGAATAAAGTCTTCAGAGCCAGATGACAAGAATGGCCCAAGCAGTCCACCAGGGAAACCTGGACCCAGTGTACATCAATGCAGAGCATCAAGCACAACGTAACAGGTGTACAGTTGCCTGTTCCTGTTCAGAGATAACTGCATCACACACACTGTAAAATGAAGAAGTGCAGAGAAGCAGATGTAACTGGAGAAGACAGCAGGAGCAAGGAGGGACAACCACGACCTAGGAAAGCACCATGCCAGAGACACCTGGACCCCACACTAGGCTCAGTGCCCTTCATACTCTTGGGACCCAGTGCTTACCCTCTCCATCATTTGGCAAACTTGGCATTTTTTGTTGATTAAAATAATGTTTTTAGTGTTCACCTTTCCTAGGAGACAGACAGATCCTGTGACACTACAGCTTCTGGCACACAGTAGGTGCATCACAAACATCTGCTGAGTTCACACACTCTTGCCTTCTCAAACTTTCTTGTCAAGTCTTCAGTGAAAAGGAATTACTAATTGAGCAAGAATTAAACTTCTAGAGACTCTTGGATCCACTGAAGTTTGAGACAAGGTGAAATTTGTTTACTGCCGTATTCCTAGCTCATAGCAAACTGTAGTCATTTAATACATGTTTGTTAAATAAGTGAGTGAATTGATTCGTATATCTTACTTAGCAATATGTTTTCTGAGTAAAGTTGATAAATGTAATAGTTTACTTCTGGTATAATTTTACTTTACTTATTCAACAAACCTGAAAATTCAACTAGGTGGCAGGCACACCGCTGTTTAATAAAAAGAGGTATAAGATGCAATTTTTCTACATGAAAGCCACAGTCTAAAAAGTAGAAACATATGAACAAATTGTAACAATAAATTGGCTAAATTCAAATTAGAGGGGTTTGTTTCTATTTTAAACAGGAAGTGTTAGAAAGTTCTAAAGAGGAAATATTTCAACACACCATCTAAGCATGAAGCAGAAGCCACTCATAATTGAGTTTGCTACCACCAACCTCAACAGCAAGAATTCCAATCCTGCTGCTACAAATTAAGTGTCACTCTGATTTTATTACTGCTATGTAACCCAGTTTTATACTCTCTGGTTGTCACTTAATGTTCCAAAAAAGTATTAAAGAGAAAATATTATTATAGTGATGAGTCCATGCACTGCAGCCATCTCAACATTATGCCAATTATAAGGCCTATCATTTAAAAAGAAAACTGTTTGTTTAACTTATTTATCCAAAACTCAGTGTAACATAAACATATTTGCCATCAGACTTTGGATTTCTGGGTTAAATAGCATATAAATATGATTAGAGGCTTAAAGTTTACACTTTTCTGGTTCTCTCAAGTTTTTTTTTCAAAATAGCATATGCCTTTCTAAACAATTATTAGTATATTTTTTAAATGAACTTTAAAAGGCATATTTTCCAAAAGCAAAATACAGCTCCCATTGGTAAATGACAATGTTGAGATACAACAGACAACTTCTCTTGGGAACCATTTAATCAGTGCTCACTTTTACACTCTGTCCAGAAATGTCAATGGCTTTAAAATATAGAAGTATATTACACAGCTAAATTTATACTAATTCAGTATTGTGCAATATTTAGTACTTGTTCTAGCTCTCTCTTGCTGAATAGTAAGCCATTCCAAAACTTAAGGAATTATTTATTAATATTTTTATTGTTATTATTTATTTAGTAATTTTAAATAACATTACTTCTCATGGTTTTGTGGGTTGATAGGCACTACAAAAGTTCTCTTTTGGAGTCTTCCTTGTAGCTGCTGTTGGTTGGCTGCTGCTGAAGTTACCTGAAAGCTCAACTAAGCTAAAGAGCCTAGACAGGTTACTCAGATGGCTGGCAGTGCATATTGGCTGCTGTGTGTGATATCTTTCTGACCTCTCCATGTTACCTGGAGTCCTCACAACTTGGTAGTTGCTCCTAAGACACACAGGGAAATACTACAAAACTTCTTATGACCTAGACTTGGAGGTCCTAGAATATGACTTCTGCTGCATCCTATTGGTAAAGCAAGTCATTGCGACCAGCACAGATTCAAGAAATGGGAGATTCACCTCTACCTGTCAGTGTAAAGAGCAGCATGTGCATGCAGGGAGGAAAAGCATGTGCATGCAGGGAGGAAAGAAATTGAGGGCATCATCTTGAAGACTATCTTACCACACCATTATTCCAAGTAATGAACATTTTATTTTAGATGGATAGTACTAGCTACTCATGTCTACCCCAGAAACCCAAGCTAGGCATTGACATATTGAAAAGAATGTCAGTACCATTAAAAAACTCTAGAAAAATCACGTGATGACAGGTTAATTTAGTCTCTCAATTACATCACTATAATTCCCTTCTTTTAACCCTAAATATGGTAAAACAGAATTGAATTCTACAAAAGTCTTTCATCTGTTTTCCTATGGAATAATTAACAAACCCAATAAATGTTTAAAGAACATGAAGTTCAATTTATTTTAGATTTATACCTCTTGATTTCAAAGCTTATAGAAATCCAGAGAACTAATCATCATAATCCATAACGCCTGGACCAGAAGTCATTGTTCTAAGAGTATCCTGTGGGATGCTAAAAATGTATTACTAACTGGGAAATTTAAAACTCTTTTGCTGGTGATTTTAAGAGAGCTGACTAGCTCATCAGCACAATTCACACAGATTAAGAATGGAGATTACTCTGCTGAGTGGATTCATAATGATCATAAAAATAATTCACAAATGAGAAAAGAGATAGAGAAGGGGAAACATACTGTCAATCACTAAAATAAAGGGAATATTCAAATGGTCTGATTTTGTATTTTTCAAAACAAAGGCAGCTTATTGTGATAGAATAAGAATCCCACTTGTATGTCTTCTTTTGAGAAGTGGCTGTTTATGTCCCTTGTCAATGTTTTAATGGAACGGTTTTCTTAATGTTCAACATCACTAATCATCAGGGAAATGCAATTCAATGTAAGATACCATCTCATATTATTCAGTATGGCTACTATTAAAAAGTAAAAAAATAACAAATTCTGGTTAGACTTCAGAGAAAATAAAATGCTTACACACTGTGGCGAGAATGTAAATTAGTTTAGCCACTGTGAAAAGAAGTTTGGAGATTTTTCACAGAATTTAAAACAGAAGTACCATTAAACCAGCAATTCTGTTACCTAGTGTATATTCAAAAGAAAATTAAACTCATCTACACAGTACCTCGCTCCTGCCAGCAGAAGGAACTTTTAGAAGGCAAAACCAAGAAATATTTGCTTTCCTGGCTTTGAAAGTTCAAAATCAACAAAATATTACATCAAAAAATAGTCAATATACTACCAAATTATTATAAAATAAGCACTTGTGTTCAATTCTAAAATAAATAAGCAAACCAGAAGGAAGGAAGGGAGGAAGAGAGAGGGAAAAAAAGGAAAGGAAAGCAAACTCAACATTCCATTTTATTGATATCCTGTATGATACTTTTATTTGAGCCAATTATTGACATGATCAAAACTTCTTCTTAGATTTCCTATTCTGGAATCATTGCTAGGAAAAGACAATTGTTTAGTTATAATAAATTATGTCCTTTGAGATGCTTGCTCCTAGACACCCCCAACAGCAATATAAAACAGCTTTGGTGTACTCGCCAGGTTGAGAGCGGTACAGCTGAAATACTGGATGGCATTTGCAATTTCTGATCTCTGCACTTACTTGTCAAAGCAAAAAATGAAACAAAATCTTTGAAATGACACTGTGAAGCCCATTTTTCAGTCAGGGACTATCTCCAAATGGAAACAAGCTGGCTGTACCATTTAACTACAATTTCACTTCTGATTTATATCTAGCCTGCCTGAAAGTTTGGAATATTATATGGCACAAGATTGGAATTAAGTATGAGGGAGCTGGACAGTTCAATAAATAGTAAGTGCCGAATCCTCAAAGAAAATAGCTTCTTTAAAAATGACTGGCTTTTCTGTTAGACTCATCTTCAGTATTCCTGGAGGCAACTCTACATTTGACATACATGGTGGGAAACACATTTCAACTGTTTATAACCTCATGATGTGAAACTTGACTACCTAAACAATGAAAGGAAATTTGACTGGAGTTCTAACATACTAGCATGGCTTGGTGATCCCTACATATTGAAGAGTTTAAGTCAAGACTATGCGAGTTGTCATTATGGGCATTATTCATCCTAGAGTCCAAGTATTTTCCTTCCAGTTTCATTGATATTTCTTTCTGCTATAATATGTTTCCCAAATTTTCATGTAAATAACTTTTTATGACCTCAATTGTGTTTTTTTCTAAATATTTTTTATTATTGTTTTAAATATTGTACAATATATACCTGTTTTGGCAAATTCAAATGAGTCATAAGTACATACATTAAAAATACTATTTTTGGTCCCGTTCTATCATCACTCTTGCACAAACCCAGATAACCTGTTCTAATACTTTGGTTTATGCCCCTTGGAGTATTTTAAAAATGCTCCCCCCTTTTAAAATAAATACCTACACACAGTGTTTTTTTTTTTTTTTTTTAATGAAAACATCATATTTTCCTATTGTATTTTTCCATCAATTTGCCTTTTATACTTTCCATCTTTTGGATTTTATTCCAAATCAACATGTATAGATTTTTCTCTCTCTTAACCAATAGTTGAATTATCCAAATTAAAATATATATTTTTAATTAAAAAAAAAAAAAAGAAAATTAAAAATTCTACAAAAAGAAACCCCACGTGCACTTGTATATTCATCATATTGCTATTCACATTAGGGAAGGCATGGAATTAAATTATGTGTGAATCAATAATTTGGATAGAAATATGTGCTACATAAACACCATAAAATACTATGCACACATTAAAAAAAATACAATCATGTCCTGTGCAGCAACATGGATGCATCTGGAGGCCATTATCCTAAGGAAATTAATACAGGAACAGAAAACCAAGTACCACATGTTCTTGCCTGTAAGTGGGCTCTAAACATGGAGTACTGATGAATATAAAGATTTCAACAATAGACACTGAGAACTACTAGATGAAGGAGGAGGGCAGGGGTGAGAAACTATGGGTACTATGCTCACTACCTTGGTGATACGATCAATTATTCCCACAATATATGCTCAATACTGTGGTGATGGGATCAACAATGTCCCACATAGCTCAGCATCACACAATATATCCACGTAACAAACCTACAAACATACTCCCTGAATCTAGAAAATTTAAGGCAGAGACAGAGTAAGAAGGCAGAATAGAAGCCTACACCACTCATCCCCCATGTCAAAACACCATATTTTCACAACTTACTATATTCAAGAAGCACTGTCAAAGGGACCAAAAATTAGGTGAGCAATCACAGTATCTGGTATTAACTTCATATCACTGAAAAAGACATTGGAGAAGACAAAAAAATGACAGCCTAGAAACACCGATGCCACCTCTTTTTCAACCACCAGTAGTGACCACATGGTGCAGAGATTGTATGTTTGGGAGAGGAAGAGCACAGTTTCTGAGGCTTTGCAATAAACTCAGTACTACCCTGTCACAGTAAAAAGCAGAGCCAGATTGTACTCAGCTGACATCTGCCAATAGGAGGAGAATTTTGATTGGCCCTAGCAAAAGGAAAATCTCCCATCTTGGTGCTGGGAGCTTGAGTCTTTACAAGCCTTGCCATCATGAGTTGAAGTGCTATTGGACCCTAAGAGAACTTAAGGGGCAGTCTAGGCCACAAGGACTTCCATTATTAAGCAAGCCATACTGCGGAGCTGGGCTTGGAGCCAGTGGAATGTGGAGGGTGGGGAGAATGTGGCCTACTGAGACACCAGCCAGAGCAGCTAAGGGAGTGCTCACAACACCATTACCCCACCCCCCACCCAGCAGCAGCCACAAGCCACAGAGAAACCTGTGAATTTGTGAGAGAGAGAGCACAGTGACTGGAGGACTTAACATTAAAGTCAGTGTTGCCATGTCAGTAAAGACCTGGCAGAATTCATCACCTGCTGACTAAAGAACCCCAGTACCCAGAATAAAAAACAGTGATACCCAGGTAATACACCATGGGTATTGGGCTCTGAGAAGTGCTAACTTCAGGTGTGACCCAGCACATTTCCAGCTGTGGTAGCTATGGTGAAAGACTTCTTCTGTTTGAGAAAAGCAGGGGGAAAGTAAAGGGAACTCTGTGTTGCACCTCATATACCAGCTTAGCCACAGTGGGGTAGAGCACCAAGCAGATTCTTAGAGCCCCTGAGTCCAGACCTAAGGTCTTGGCCAGCATTTCTGCACTTGCCCTGGGCCAAGGGTCGAGTCTCAGGCATTGCAGAATTTATCACAAGCAAACTAAAGAGTCCTTGGGCTTTAAGTGAGAAATTGATGATGATTTGGCAGAACCCTCCCGTGGGCTGGTGGTGTTGGCAGTCATAGAAGAGGCTCCTCTGCCTGCAGACAGGGGAAGGAAGGGTAGAAAATATTTTGTTTTATGCCCTAAGTGCCAGGTTAGCTACAGTAAAATAGAAGATCAGGTAAATTTTGAAGATTCTATACTTTAATCTCTGGCTCCCTAGCACCTATGGACCCACTCATGGCTAGGGGAACTTGCCACCCTATAGGCAGATACACAAATCTGGCTGACTTTGCCATCTATTAATCCTGGAGTCCTAGGGCTTTGAGTAAACTTATATGGTAGCCAAGTAGTGGTTACAGTGGGCCTTGGGTGAGACCAAGTTCTGTGCCTACTTCAGGTGTGAACCAGCACAGTCTCAGTGGTGGTGGCCACAGGGGTGCTTATGTTACCCCAACTCCAGCTCCTCATGCCTCAGCACAGAAAGAGAGACTCTGCTGGTTTGAGAGAAATTAAGGGAAGAGAACAAGAGTCCCTACTTGATAAATCAAGATAATTTTTCTTGATGTTAATCCAAGGCCGCCAAGGCAGCACCTCTACATGTTTGCATAAACTACTGTGTTATTGTGTTTGGGACCCAAGTCTCTTTGAATACCTGGAAAGCATTCCCAAAAATAATGGGCACAAACAAGCCCAGACTCTGAAGACTACAAGAGACAACTCTTCAATGCCCAGATATAGATGAACATCTACAAGTATCAAGACCATCCAGGAAAACACGACCTCACCAAACAAGCTAAATAAGGCACCAAGGACAAATCCTGGAAAAACAGAGATTATGTGACCTTTCATAAAGGAAATTCAAAATAGCTGGTCGAGGTAATTCAAAGAAATGCAATATAACACAGAGAAAAAATTCAAAATTCTATCAGATAAATTTAACAACAAGATTGAAATAAAAAGAATAAAGCAGAAAATTTGAAGTTAAAATGCAATTGTCATACTGAAGAATGCATCAGAATTACTTAAAAGCATTGATCAAGAGGAAGATAGATTTAGTGAACTTAAAGTCAGACTATTTGAAACTACAAAGTCAGAGGAGACAAAAAAGAATAAAAAATAAAGCATGCCTACAAAATCTAAAAAATAGCCTCAAAATAGCAAATCTAAGAGTTATTGGCCTTAAAGCAGAGGTAGAAAAAGAAATAGGAGTTAAATATTTATTTAAAGAAATAGTGTTAAATAATATTAAACAATTCCCCAACATTTGATATCAACATTTGAGTACAAGAAAGTTACAGAACATCAAGCAGATTTAGCCCAAAGACTACCTCAAGGCACTTAACTGAACTCCCAAAAGTTAAGGATAAATAAATGATTCTAAAAGCAGCGAGAGAAGAGAAACAAATAACATTCAGTGGAACTCCAATATATCTGACAGCAGACTTTTCAAGGGAAAATTTACAGGCTGAGAGAATGGCATGACATATTAAAAAAGCTAAAGGAAAAATAAGACTTTTACTTTAGAATAATGTATATGGCAAAAACGTCCTTTAAACTTAATGGAAAATAAGAACTTTTCCCAACAAACAAAAACTGAGGGATTTCATTAACACCAGACATGTCCTACAAGAAATGCTAAAGGGAGTTCTTCACCTGAAAGAAAAAAAGTGAGTGAGCAATAAGAAATCATCTGAAGGTACAAAAGTCACTAGTAAGAGCACACGGAAAAACGCAGAATATTATAACATGGTAATTATGGTGTGCAAGATCACATGGACACAGGAAGGGGAACATGACATTCTGGGGACTGTTGTGGGCTGGGGGGGAGGGGGGAGGGATAGCATTGGGAGATATACCTAATGCTAGATGACGAGTTAGTGGGTGCAGCGCACCAGCATGGCACATGTATACATATGTAACTAACCTGCACAGTGTGCACATGTACCCTAAAACTTAAAGTATAATAATAAAAAAATTAAAAAAAACTCAAGTAGAAACAGTAAGCAATAAACCAATAAAAAATAATAACTACAACATATTTCCAAGACATAGACAGTAAAATAGGGAATGAAGAGAAACAACAAAAAGTTTAAAAGAATGGCAATAAAATTAAAGTGTAGAGTTTTTATTAGTTGCTCTGCTTGTTTGTTTGTGCAATCAATGAAAAATTGTTCAGTCTAAAATGATGTGTTATAAGATATTATTTTCAAGCCTTACAGTAACTTCAAATCAAAAAGCATACCACAGATGTACAAAAAGTAAAAAGGAAGAAATAAGATTGTATTACAGGAGAAACCACCTTCACTAAAAGGAAGACAGGAAGACAGAAAAGAAGGACAAGAGGACAAAAATCAATCAGAAAACAAATAACAAAATGGCAGGAGTAAGTGCTTATCAATAATAATGTTGAATGTAAATGAACTAAATACTCCAATCAAAAGACAAATAATGGATGAATGCATAGAGAAGCAAGACAATAATCTGTGACCTAAAAAAAAACATACTTTACCTATAAAAATACATTTAGACTGAAAATAAAAGGATGGCAAAAGTTACTCCATGCCAATAGAAACCAAAAAAGAGCAGAAATAGCTACACTTATACCAGACAAAAATAGATTTCAACAAAAGACTGTAGGAAGAGATTAAGAAGGTCATTATATAATAATAAAGAGATCAATTCATCAAGAGGATATAATAATTGGAAACATATATGCACCCAACACTAAAGCACCTAGATAAATGAAGTAAATATTATAAGAGCTAAAGAAAGAGACCTCAATACAATAATGGCTGGACACTTCAACACCCCACTTTAGTCATTGGATAGACCTTCCAGACAGAAAATCAACAAAGTAACATCAGACCTAATCTGCACTATAGAACAAATGAACCTAATAGTTATTTACAGAAAATTTCATCCAACAGCTACAGAATACACATTCTTCTCCTCAGCACGTGGGTTATTCTCCAGGATAGACCATATGTTAAGTAACATGTCTAAAAACATTCAAAAAAATTGAAGTAATATCAAGCATTTTCTTTGACCACAATGGAATAAAACTAGAAATCAATTAAAAATGAATTTCAGAAACTATACAAGCACTTGAACATTAAACAGTATGCTCCTGAATAATCACTAGGCCAATAAAAAAGTTAAAAAGAAAATAGAAAAATTTCTTGAAACAAATGATAATGGAAACATAGCATAGCAAAACCTACGGAATATAGTAAAAGAGGTACTATTATAAAACAAAAATTTATAACTGTAAGTGCATATATAAAAAACAGAGAAACTTCAAATAAATAACCTAACAGTGCATCTTAATTAAATAGAATAAAAAGGCCAAACCAACTCAAAATTAGAAGAAAAGAAATAATAAAGATTAGAGTGGAAATAAAGTTAAAATGAAGAAAACAATGCAAAAGATCAATGAAACAAAAAGTTGATTTTTTTTGAAAAGTAAAACAATTCACAAATAATTAGACAGGCTAACTGAAGAACAGAGGAGATACAAATTTATAAAATCAGAGTTGAAAAAGGATACATTACAAGTAATGCTTCAGAAAATCAAAGGGTCATTAGTGGCTACTATGAGCAATTGTATGCCAACAAATTAGAAAACCTAGAGGAAATTCTTAGAGAAACACAACTTACCAAGATTGAACTAGGAAAAAATCAAAAACCTGAACAGACCAATAATGAATAACAAAATTAAAGCCATAATAAAAAAGTATGTAGGACCAGACTGAAAAATAGAGAAGGAAAGAAGATTTTCAAATTCATTCTTTGAGGCTAGTATTAAACTGATATCAAAACCAGACAAAGACACATTAAAAAAGCCAACTATGGGCCCATATCTGAGAATATTGATGCAAAAATTTGCAAAAAACCTAGCAAACTGAATTAAGCAGTACATAAATAAATAATTCATAATGACCAAGTGGGATTTATCCCAGAGGTGCAACGATGGTTCAACATGCAAATCAATCAATGTGATATATCATATAAACAGGATGAAGGGGCCAGGTGCAGTGGCTCATGCCTGTAATCCCAGCATTTTGGGAAGCCAAGGTGGGTGAATCACCTGAGATCAGGGGTTCAAAACCAGACTGGCCAACACAGTGAAACCCCATCTCTATTAAAAATGCAAAAATTAGACAGGTGCTGTGGTGGGCACCTGTAATCCCAGCTACTCGGGAGGCTGAGGCAGGAGAATCAGTTGAACCTGGGAGGTGGAGGTTGCAGTGAGCCAAGATCATGCTATTGCACTCCAGCCTGGGTGACAGAGGGAGACTTCATCAAAAAAAAAAAACCAAAAAAACAAAACAAAACAAAACAAAACAAAACAAAAAAAACAGAATGAAGGACAAAATCCATATAATCATTTCAATTATGCTAAAAAATTATTTAATAAAATTTAATATTCTTTAATAATTAAAAACCCTTTGAAAACTGGGTATGAAATGATAGCTCAACATAATAAAAGTTAGATATGACAGACCCACAGCTAGTATCACTGTAAGTGGGGAAAAAGTAAAAGCCTTTCCTCTATAATCTGGAAGATGACCATAATATCCACTTTTACCACTGTTATTCAGCATAATTCTGAAAGTCCTATCTGGAGCAATCAGACAAGAGAAAGTAATAAAGGCATCCCAATTGGAAAGGAAGTTAAATTATCTTTTTTGCCGATGATATAATCTTATATTTGAAAAAGCATAAAGACTCCTCTGATAGAGTTTGAATGTGTGTCCCCTCCCAAATCTCATATTTAAATGTAATTCTCAATGTTGGAGGTGGGCCTGGTGAAAGGTGATTTAACCATTGGGGTGGATTACTCACAAATGGCTTAGCATCATCCCACTTGGTGCTATCCTCATGATAGTGAGTGAGTTCCCCTAAGATCTGGTTATTTAAAAATGTGTAAAAACTCACCCCTGTTTTTTGCTCCTGCTTTTTGCCCTGCAATATGCAAGATTCTACTTCAACTTCTGCCATGACTGTAAAGTTCCAGAGGCCTTCCCAGAAGTGTATGCCAGTGCTATGTCTTCTCTACAGCCTGTAGAGTCAAAAGCCACTTAAACCTCCTTTTTAAAAAATAAATTATCCAGTCTCAGGTATTTATAGTGATGCAAAAATAGATTAATACAGAAAGTTGGCACCAAAGAGTGGAAAATTTTTATAAGCATACCTGAAAATGTGGAATCAGCTTCGTAATTGGGTAAACAGGCAGAGGTTGGAAGAGTTTGCAGGACTTAGAAGAAGATAGAAAAATGAAGAAAACTTGAGATTTTCTTAGAGACTGGTTGTATGGCTGTGACCAAAATGCTGATAGTGATCTGGACATAAAAGTTTGAATTTGAAAGTGATGATTTAGGGTTTCTGTTGGAAAAATGTCTAAGTAGCAAAGCATTCAAGATGTGGCCTGGCTGCTTCTAACAACCTATGCATACATGTTGCAGCAAAAAAAAAAAAAAAAAAAAAAAGTTGAAACTTATACTTACAAGGGAAGCGTAGTGGAAAATCTTGAGAACTTTGCAGCCTAGTTATGTGGCAGAAAAATAAATAGCTTTTATAAGAGAGAAACTCAAGCAGGCTGTGGAGCAACCACTTGTTAGAGATACTTGTATAACCTGAAAAAAAGCAAGTGTTGATAGCCAAGACAATGGGAAAGAGGAATTGAATGCATTTTAGAAAGCTAAAATGCAGCTCCCCATCACAGACCCTGAGTCCTAAAAGAAGAGAATAGTTTCTGGGATCAGGCCCAGGACCTGCTGCCTTGGGTAGCCTTGGAACATGGCTCCCTGCATCGTAGCCACTGCTCCAGCTCCAGGTGTAGCAAAAATTGGCCCAGTTACAACTATAGTCACTGCTTCAGAGGGTGCAAGCCATAAGCCTTGGTAGCTTTCATGTGCTGTTACGCCTGTGGGTGTACAAAATGCAAGAGTTGAGACTTGGGAGCCTCTACCTTTATTTCAAAGGGTGTATGTAAAAGCCAGGGTGTGCAGGCAGAAGCATGCTGCAGAGGTGGAGCTCTCATGGAGAACCTCTACTAAAACAATGCAGAGAAGAAATGTGGGGTTACAGTCCTCATGTAGGCTCCCTACTGGGGCATAGACTAGTAGATCTGTGAGGAGAGGATCACTGTCCTCCAGACTCCAGAATGGTAGATCTAGCTACAGCTTGCACCTTGGACCTGGAAAAGCCAGAGGCACCCAATACCAGTCCATGAGAGCAGCTGTGGGGGCTGAACCATGCAAAGACACAAGGTCAAAACTTCCCAAAGCATTAATGTGCCCTGGAAATGGGATATAGGGTCAAAAATAGTTATTTTGGAGCCTTACAATTCAATAACTCCCATTCTGGGTTTCAGACCTGCATGGGTCCTGTGGCCCCTTTCTTTTAGCTGATTTCTTCCTTTTAGAATAGGAGTATTTACCCAATGCCTGTGCCCCATTTGTATCTTGGAAGTACCTAACTTGTTTTTTGTATTTTAGGCTTATAGGAGGAAGGAACTAGCTTTGTCTTAGATGAGACTTTTGACTTTTGAGTTAAGGCTGAAATGAGTTAAGACTTTGGGGATTGTTGGGAAGTCATGATCGTATTTTGAAATATGAGAAGGATATGAGATTTTGAATGGCCAGGGGCAAAACAATATAATTTGGATATGTGTTCCCACCAAAATGTTCTATTGAAATGTAATCCTCAATGTTGGAAGTGGGCCTAGTGGGGAGGTGATTGAAACAGGAGGGCAGGATTTCCATGAACAGTTTGGCATCATTTCCTTTGGTGCCATTCCCACAATAGTAAGTTTTCATGAGAGCTGGTCATCTACAAATGTATAGCACTTTCCCCCTGCCCTTGCACTACCATGTGATATGCAAGCAGCGGATTTATTTTTCACCTTGATTGTCAGTTGTCAGGGGCTTCCCCAGAAGTAGAAGCCAGGGCTATGCTTTATGTACAGCCCATAGAATGATGAGCCAATTAAACCTATTTTCTTTATAAATTAACCAGCCACCAATTATTTTTATAGCAATGTGGGGGTGGCCTAATATATCCACCAAAAAACTATTAGAAGTGATAACTTGAGTAAATTTGCAGAATACAAAATCAACATATATAAATCAGTAGAATTTCTATATGCCAAGAGTCAACAAACTGAAAAAGAATTCAAAAAAGTAATCTTATTTGCAATAGCCACAAATAAAACAAAATGTGTGGGAATTTACCAAAGAAATAAAAGTCCTCAACAATTAAAACTGTAAAACACTGATAAAAGAAATGAAAGAGGACACAAAAAAATGGAAAGATATTTCTTTGTTCACAGATTGGAAGAATCAGTATTTTTAAAAACGTCCATACAATCCAAAGCAATCTATATATTTCATGCCATCTCTATCAAAATAATGACATTCCTCACAGAAATAGAAAAAAGTTCTGAAATGTTTATGGAACCACAAAACACCATGATAGTCAAAGCTATGCTGAGTGTATAAAACAAAAGTGGAGGAATCCCATTACCTGGTTTTAAATTATACTATCAAGCTATAGTAATTAAAACAGCATGATGCTAGGATAAAAACAGACATAAAGACAAATGGAACAAAATAGATAACTTAGAAACAAACTCATACAGCTAAACTAAACTTATTTTCAACAAAAGTGCCAAGAACATACAATAAAAAAATAAGACAGCTTGTGTAATAAGTAGGACTGGGAAAACTGGCAAGCCATAGGCAGAAGAATGAAACTAGAACCATATTTCTTGCCACATAAAAATCAAATTAAAATGAATTAAAGATGTAAACGTAACACCTCAAACAAACTTTTCCAAAAAAAAAAAAAAAAAAAAACATGGGGGAAACTCTTTAGGGCATTGGTTTGTGCAAAAATTTCTTAAATAATACCCCATAAGCACAGACAACCAAAGCAAACATGGACAAATGGAATTACGGCAAGTCAGAAAACTTTTTTAAAGTGAAGGAAACAATAAACAAAGTGAAGAGAAAACCCACAGCATGGGTGGAAACATTTGTAAATTACCGTCTGAAAAGCAATTAATAGCTACGTGATATGGTTAGGCTTTGTGTCCCCACCCAAACCTCATATTGAATTGTAATCCCCAGTGTTGAGGGAGCGACCTGGTAGAAGGTGATTGGATCATGGAGGTGGTTTTCCTCATGCTGTTCTTCTGATAATGAGTTCGCATGAGATCTGATGGTTTTATATGGGACTCTTACCCCTTTGCTTCACATACATGCTGTCTCGCCTGCTGTCATGTAAGATGTGCCTACTTCCCCATCTGCTGTGATTGTAAGTTTCCTGAGGCCTCTCCAGCCATGTAGAACTGTGAGTCAATTAAATATTTCCTCAAAAATTACCCAGTCTCGCCAGGTTCAGTGGCTCATGCCTATAATCCCAGCACTTTGGGAGGCCGAGGTGGGTGGATCATGAGGTAAGGAGTTCAAGACCAGCCTGGCCAAGATGGTGAAACCGTCTCTACTAAAAATACAAAAATTAGCTGGGCATTGTGGTGGGTGCCTGTAATCCCAGCTACTCAGGAGGCTGAGGCAGAGAATTGCTTGAAGCCGGGAGGCAGAGGTTGTAGTGAGCTGAGATCGCGCCACTGCACTCCAGCCTGTGCGACAGAGCAAGACTTCATCTCAATAAATAAATAGATAATAAATAACCCAGTCTCTGTTTTTTTAATAGCAGTGCAGAAACAGACTAACACACTACAATATATTGAGTTCAAAAATAGCTATAAATGCTTGAGGGGAAGTTTTTTATTATGTATTACTCATTGTATGCCTGTATCAAAGTATGTCATGTACCCCTGTAAATATATACACCAACTATGTACCCACAAAAATAAATTAAAAATTAAAATTAAAACCAAAGGGAGGAGAGTATAATGAGGCATGTGTGACCCGTGGCTTGAACTAGCTTTTCAGGTTAACTTTGGAATGTCAGAGAGGTCCATTTAGTCAACAGGGGCTTAGAAATTAATTTTTAGTTTATGAGTAGAAAAAAGAAGAATTTTTAATCCTGAGCCATAGCTCTCAGTCAATCAATCCCCGCAGGGAACCCTGTTCTTTACTCTGGAGATAAACACTATTTTTCTTTTCCACTGAATAACATCACATTTCAAAATGATGGAAACATCTTGAAACTAAAAGGTACAGCCTTATTAAATTTGATTTGGTTTCAATTATACTTAATTTAATCACATGTGTTCCAGAGTTTGTCCTCAGTCTTCTCCTACTTTAGGCCCATGATCTGTTGTATTTGCTCAGCTCCCTGCTCAACAGCAGGAAATCAGTTAGAATTACTTACAAACCTCATTGTGTCTGGGAGCGGTGGCTCATGCCTGTAATCCCAGCAATTTGGGAGGCCAAGGTGGGCAGATCTCTTGTTGTTAGGTGTTTGAGACCAGCCTGGCCAACAGAGTGAAACCCCATCTCTACTAAAGATACAAAAATTAGCTGGGTGTGGTGATGCATGCCTGTAATCGCACCTACTTGGGAGGCTGAGGCAGGAGAATCACTTGAACCTGGAAGGCAGAGGTTTCAGTGAGCCAACATGGTGCACTGCACTCCAGCCTGGGCAGCAGAGAAAGACTCTGTCACAAAGTAATAATAATAATTAATAAGTAAATAAAAATAAAAATCTCATTGCATTTCAAACAAAATTTCTTTTGAATAACAACTGTATCAACTTGCATATTAACTTTAATTATTTTGTTTACTTTATATCCATTCCTGAGAAATCTTTGAGAACTAATTTCACTCCTTTCTGCCATTTTGGTAAACATGTCAAATTCCATCAAACAAAATGCACAAAATTCCTGAGAAATAAATTTTATCCTTGAGGAATAGACTTGCCGTGTTAGAGGAACTCATGGTTACCAAGCTTCTAGTTTAATAAACATGACTAGAATACTCTATCTTAATATGAGTAGCTAGGTACTCACCAGGCATCTAGAAGATTAATACTTGTGGTCTGAAAATAGCCATATTTTTTAGCTGGACACAAATTAAAATTGCAGAATATTTATGGCCATACAAGACATCTTCCACCAAGCCTGAAAAATGTATAAGTGTCCTAAGAGTGCAGCATTTTTTCTGAAAGATAATACTAATGAGCTAGCTTAGGTCAACGGGTTAATGGTCATTGTTAAAACCAATAACCCCTTACTTAATAACTACATCTACACCGTCCAAGTTTAATAATAATTCTTTCTCTTTATACTTACTTATAAGTAGGGACACTAACAAAAGACAATGCATTCCTGCTCTTGTTTTCTGAGTATGTCCAAGTCTGTAATGGAGTCAATTCTAATAAACTTGCTTCTTTCACTGTGCTCTCTGACTCATCTCAAATTTTTTCCTGCACAAGATCTAAGAATCCTACTTTGTGGTCAGTATCAGGACCCTCTTTTCCAGCAACATCTTTCAGCAACACCATGAAGGGACACAAAGACAAGACCCCCACTCCAATGAAAACAAGCCATACAGAATCAATCAGCTGGCAAATGGGCCATCTTTTAGAGTCGTGAAGCCATTCTGGTGGGCAAGAATGATTATCCACTACTACTTAAGTGAGAGGCCCTAGGGTATAATGTTAGGGGGAGAGACTTAGCCCAAAAAGTTAGAGACCTGGGGGAGTCATACTCAGATTAGAAGCCAAGCTCACAAGGTTAGAGGACCTGGGGTATATTGAGAAGAATGGATTTGGCTAAACAAGATGGTTGCCACTTTCTGTTTTTGGACCGTCCACCTTACACTCTCTGTCCTTCATCTGAGTGCTCTGCATCTTGTCACCTTTCTGCTCACCGCCTCTGTTTTGTAGTAGCCTATACGCTGCCCCAGGAAAGAGGCTCCAAACAGTTTAGCTTTTACTTTCCTCAACGATCCTCTGACTTTTAGCTGATTGCTTATTTAATTTGCCACTGCTCCAAGTGACACTGAAAAAAAGAGATATCTTGGAACCTCGTATTTTTGTACCTTAATTATCAGAAAAAAATCAGCAATAACCTCTCCATCATTATGACTAGAAGTTGGAATGTGGTATTTAACAGCCCTACATGATAAGTTCAGATATGCCTGTTTAGCGACAACCTCTTTTATGACAATCCCCTGCAATTGATTAGCCTCAAGATGGAGAACATGAGAGTTTTTCTTAACAGTTTTCTCTCATTTCTTAACCGTAAGGTCATCTTTGATGAGCTGGTATAGCACAGCTGGACCCTACTTTCTAAATCCAGCACGTCACTTTTTCCCTGAAAGAGTTTTGTCAGTTTTGTCACGGCAGTGCGAAAATGGACTCATACATTACAATATACAAGTTACAGCCTTCCCATTTCTCCTGTTTGGTCTGACTCCTTTCTTTGCAGCTTAATTAGTTTTATAGAAGAGAAACTAAGTGGGAGGAAATACATTATATACAGGCTTCTCTGATGCTTGGTCAGGATAAAAAATTAAAATGGGCTTCTATATGTTTGATGGAGGAAAAGACAAAATAGGGATGGCACATAATTGATTACCCTTTTAATGCAAGTGCCTCTTAATATTAGGATTTTCTTAGCTAGGGCTGAACTCTCCCCTGCCAGTCCAAGCACTCCATAAGAACACAGTCAGACTCCTTCAAGTTCTGGTGAGGTGTGCAACATGTTATTAATGCCTTCTAGTTTTCCAGGGTTATGTAGTGTCCAGTCGTCATCTTCTCCCTGCCCTTCGAGTCGTGTCTTACATACATACCACACTCTCGAAACACCTGAGCTTCACTATAACAACATGCAGTAGGGCCTCTTATCAGCTGACAAAGTTGAATTTTTGCCCTCTCTGGGATGTGACAGATGATAATAGGGACACTCTATAGGTATATATACCCTTTTCTATGTCTGAATTAGTCATATGCAAGGAAAGACTAAAATAGTTTTCAGAGGTTCCAGGAAAATTCATAGACAAATTTAACCAGGCAAGGTTTGCATATATTTATGTTTACCTGCTGTGTGGTAGAAAAACAGTGTATTATGGGAGTGGCTAGAGGATGTGCTAATAGGGTGGCCGCCTGCAACCAGAGACGTGGCACCTATCAAGTAGGAGGCACAGCAGTGCCTGACAAGGACCCAAAAGACAACTAGAATCTGGAAAAGAGAAATGAATTAGGAAGAAAGTAGGATATATAGAGAAAAAATTATGATTGACTCCTTGAAGGAATAAAAAGAGTGTGATAAAACTTTTTAATTTTTATAAAATCTGGAAAATTACTCAGGGAAAAGATGAAATCCTAGCCTTATTACAAGGGTGGATAATTTAGATTTTGAGGAAATACACTAACACTGCCCCTGACTCCAAGAAGGGATGGGCATTGCGACATTGCTAGGAGTTTATTTTATAGCCCAGTCTGCTTCTGATATCTGCAGTAGGCCGCCAAAAGCAGCCTTAGGCTTCCAGACTCCCATGGATCAGCTTTTAGACTTGGCTTTTGCAGTTTTCCATCACAGGAATAGGACAGAGAAGACATAAAATAAAGCAAATCTCACAAGAGTCCCAGCTTCTAGCTGCAGCCTTGTGCTCTCCACCACTTCAGAGGCAGCCTCTTAACCCCTGGCCCTCACAGAGGAAGTGAGAAGGTGAAAGTCCCAGTCTGTGCCTCTGGGCCACTGTGCCTTGGATATAAATCAATGTGCCTTCTGTAAGAAGGTCGGCCACTGCCGAAGGAAATGCACTGTGCTTCCAAGGGAGACATCATCAGAGCCCAGCATAGCCAAAAGTGGTAGGGCCTGATACTTCCTGCCTCCACTCCCATTAGACTATTAGCTATTGAGAGATGGAGGAGCCTCAGGTGACTCCTGAAGTGGCAGGTAGGAGTATTAACTTCTTATTAGGTGTGAGAGCAGATGACTCTGTTCCTGATTCAATACAATGGGCTCCTGTCATCTCATGATGGACATGCCCAAAAACACTGCTTTTCTTATCTTCTAAGTTGTCCTCCAAAGCCTCTGGATTTCTCACCTGCCTTTTTAGTACTTTCTGAGTGCCTGATCTCTTACTGGGGAAAGGCTTATTGACTCAGGAGACCAAGTCATGGTCACCTTCACAGATCATAAAGCAGAGAAAGTTTTCCTTTTGTTCCTGACCCCTCAGGGGAAAAAAGAAGTTAAGAATGAGCTGTCACATTTACCACCTGAGGTGTTCTCTCAAGTAAATCCTGAGGTTTGGGCCACACAGGCTCTGGGAAACGCACTAAACACCTATTCAAATCCAACTTCAGCCTAGTGCTCCTCACCCTCAGAAGAGACAATACATTTTAAGGCAAGAAGCATGAGAGGAAATTCA
Source organism: Homo sapiens (assembly GCF_000001405.40). Taxonomy (NCBI): domain Eukaryota; kingdom Metazoa; phylum Chordata; class Mammalia; order Primates; family Hominidae; genus Homo; species Homo sapiens. The sequence goes on from NC_000012.12 coordinate 38,197,696, forward strand.
AACCCTTATTTTTTTTTTTTTTTTTTTTTTTTGAGATGGAGTCTCACTCTGTTACCCAGGGTGGAGTGCAGTGGCATGATCTCGGCTCACTGCAAACTCCGCCTCCTGGGTTCACACCATTCTCCTGCCTCAGTCTCCCGAGTAGCTGAGACTACGGGCACCCACCACCACGCCAGGCTAATTTTTTTTTTTTTTTTTGTATTTTTAGTAGAGACGGGGTTTCACCGTGTTAGCCAGGTTGGTCTCGATCACCTGACCTCGTGATCTGCCCGCCTCGGCCTCCCAAAGTGCTGGGATTACAGGCGTGAGCCACCATGCCCGGCCTCAAACCTTTATTGCCAAATTCCTGCCATATGAGTTATTAAGGCCATGAGAGTCTCCTTACAATACTTGCATGTTACCAGATGAAAAGCCTAAAAGCAAGTGCAGATTTGTCAGAAACCTTAGAGCATTAATAAATGCAGTTGTCTCCATACACCTCATTGTCCCCAATACTTACCCAAGTCCCAGGGAATCCAAGCTGGTTTACATTCTTAAACCTGAAAGATGCATTTTTCTGCATCTCTATGCATCCAGATTCACAATATGTTTGCCTTTGAATGGACTGATCCAGATACGCATTCAGCCTCAAAACTAACCTGGACAGTCATCTCTGAAGGGTTCTGGGATAGCCTCCGCTTATTAGAAAATACTCTAGCTGAGGACTTAAGAAATCTACAATTGGAAAGGGACACAATTATTCAGTATGTAGGTGACTTGCTCATTGCTAGCCCAACTAAAGAAGACTCAAATAATAATACTGTTAAATTGGTAAATTTCCTGGGAACTTGCAAATATAGGGTATCACCATACAGGGCTCAGATTTTGACTGAAAGACTTAAATATGTGGAATCTGTCTTAACCTCTGGAACTGATCAACATCCCTAGAAGATAGAAAAGTTATTTTAGTCATCCAAGGGTCCCAGTCCAACAAATGACTGTGGGTTTTTTTAGGAGATGGCTGGGTACTGCTGCTTATGGGTGCCCAGATTTGGACATGTAGCCAAGCCTTTATACAATACACTAAAGGGAAAGATTTAGAGCTCCTAGAATGTAATTAGAACTGCAAGCAAACCTTCAATACTCTAAAGGAGAAACTGGGCTCTGCTGCAGCTGTGGGAGTCCCCAAGTTGGATGAACCATTTTTTCTTTATGTAGCCAAAAAGCAAGGCACAGACCTTGGGTAATCTTGTCCCAAAACTGGAGAACATTCCAAGGCCAGTAGCCTAATTTTCTAAGCCGATAGACCAGGTGGCCTCAGGGTGGCCTTGATGTCTTAGAGCTATTGCTGCTACAACTTTTCTAGTAGGCAAAGCTAATAAACAAACATTAGGACAGCACCTACAGGTTTTCAACCCCACGCCAAGGGAAAGTGGTCCTGGAAGATAAAGGGCACCAGTGGATAATAGGAGAATATTTATGAAAGTATCAGGCCTCATTGCTAGACACTCTGGACATAACCCTTAAAGCCTGACAAACCATAAAACCAGCTACTTATCTGCCAGAGTCCACAGATTCTCCCAGCCTTTCTGGCATACAGGTTGTATTAGTCTATTCTCATGCTGCTAATAAAGACATATCTGAGGCTGGGTAATTTATAAAGAAAAGAGGTTTAATTGACTCACAGTTCCACATGATTGGGGAGGCCTCACACTCATGGCAGAAGGCAAATGAGGAGCAAAGTCACATCTCTTACATGGCAGCAGGCAAAAGAGCTTGTGTAGGGAAATTCCCCCTTATAAAACCATTAGCTGTAATCCCATCACTTTGGGAGGCCAAGGCGGTGGATCACCTGAGGTCAGGAGTTCGAGACCAGCCTGGCCAACAGGGTGAAACCCCGTCTATACTAAAAGTACAAAAATTAGCCAGGCATGGTGATGGGCACCTGTAATCCCAGATACTTGGGAGGCTGAGACAGGAGAATCACTTGAACCCAAGAGTCAGAGGTTTCAGTGAGCCAAGATCATGCTACTGCACTCCAGCCTGGGCAACAGAGAAAGACTATGTCTCAAAAATAAATAAATAAATAAATAAAACCATCAGATCTCATGAGGCTTATTCACTGTCACAAGAACAGCATGGGAAAGACCTGTCCCCCAATTCAATTACCTCCCACTTGGTCCCTCCCATGATATATGGGAATTATGGGAGCTATAATTCAAGATAAGATTTGACTGGGGACACAGCCAAAGCATGTCACAGGTTATAAAACAAATTTATTCTAGGAGGCCAGACTTAAGAGAGATGAGCCTCTTGACCATCCCAAGGAAGAGTGGTTAACAGATGCAAGTTGTTTTATGCATCAGGAAAACAGGAGGACTAGATATACTATTATTAGTCAGCACAAGAGAATCAAGGCACAAGCATTGCTGGCCTCTACCTCAGCTCAAAAAGCTGAGTTAATTGAGCTTACTAGGCCCCTGCAGTTGGGAAAGGATTTAAAAGTTAACATTTACACTGATTCCAAGTATGATTTTTTAGTGCTTCATGCTTATGCTGCAATTTGGAATGGGTAGGGACTCCTGACCTCCAAGGGCTTTTCCATACAACATCATTCAGATTTTGAGCTTGTTAGAATGATGCTTTGCTGCCAAAAAGTGACTATAATTAATTGCAGAGGACTTCAAAAGACAGACTGACCAAGTAAAAGGAAATGCCCTTGTAGACACCACAGCCAAGGCCCCTGCACTGAAAGGGCCAAAGAAGCTTATGGGCGTGCTGGTCAGCATACATAGAACTGGGCCAGAATACTCTGAAGAAGAACAAAAATGGGCCAGGGTTTGCCGTTCAGTCCAGGACCCCTGTGGCTGACTGAATGATGGTAATAAATTACTAACGCCAAGTACCAATCATAGGAAAATAATTCAGCACTTTCATGATTCTTTTCACCCTAGAAGGGATTCTTTGTTTCTGTTAATGTCTCATTTGTTTATGGGGGTAAATCGTTTCAAGACACTAAAACAGGTGACTCAGCCGTGTGAGCTCTGTGCCTGACATGATCCAAATGGCCAGCAATTTTCTCCTTCTCCAGTTAAATCTGTCCAACATTGAGGAACCTATCCAGGTGAGAACTGGCAACTCTAATTTACTCAGATGCCTTTCTGCAGGAGATTCAAATATTTGCTAATGCTTACTGATACCTTCACTGGTTAGATCAAGGCATTCCGCACCCCATCTGAAAAATGTTTACCAGAAGAAATAATTCCCCAGTTTGGGTAATCTAAAAGCCTGCAAAGTGGCAATGGCCCATCTTTCACAGCAGGCGTATCCCAATACCTATCCTCAGCTTTAATAATCCAATATTACCTTCACTCTGTGTGGAGGCTGCAGTCCTCTGGTAAGGTGAAAGGGCTAATCCTACTCCAAAGAAGACTCTAGATAAATCAGAGGCCTGACTATCTCTGACACCCATAGCTTACTGCGGGTTTGAACTGCTCCAAAGTAAAACTTATAATTAAGTCCTGTTGAGTTAACATACGGAAGGCCTTTCCTAATCACAGATCTCCTAATAGATGAAAAGACTCATCAATCACAAAAATATGTCACCAATCTAGGACACTCTGTGAATATGGAAACAAGAGTCTTCCTCTCCCACATAGGAGGAAAATTCAGTTTCAGCTCAGCTAGGGATTTCGTCTTACTAAAGACATGGTAGGAAGTTCTCCAGCTGACCAGCTTTCCCCAACGTGGAAAGGACCACAGCAAGGCTACCTGAGCTCTCCAACAGACGTTCAACTCCAAGGGATTCACAGGTGGGTACACCTGAGCTGGGTCGCTGCGCCTCTGCTCCTCCTTCTCGCGTTTCTCCTGCCGCCCTAATCCCACCTTGGCCATGAGGCAGATTGTGCTCACGCAGACCGGGCAGTGCGGGAACCAGATCGGCGCCAAGGTTGGCAGCCAGGGCTCTGAGGGCCCAGCTCGGGCCTGCCGGGTGGCCAGGGAAGATGTTGGTAGCGGCAGTGGTGGGGCTGGCGCCCCTGCGTTGCGGCCCCTGGGCTCCCTGCCAGGGACGCAGTGGAACTGGCCAGCTGGCGAGGCGGCCAGGGTGGACCCCAGGGACACGGCGGCCTAGGGATGGGGGTGTGGATGAGGGTGGGGGTGGGAGAGGGGCTGGGAGAGGGACTGGGGCGCCTCCGGCTCACTGGCCTCCGTGACTCAGCCCTGGCCTGTCTGGCCCCTCCCATCTCTTGCAGTTCTGGGAGGTGATCTCTGATGAACATACCATCGACTCCACTGGCACCTACCACGGGATCAGCGACCTGCAGCTGGAGCGTATCAACGTGTACTACAATAAGTCCAGGGGTGAGACCCCAGTCCTTCCCCAACCGCCCTCCTGGGAATTGCGGCCCTCCCCTCGCTAATGCCCTCCCGTCCCACTCAGGTGGCAGGTACTTGCCCCGCGCTGTGCTCGTGGATCTGGAGCTGGGCGCCATGGACTCTGTGCGCTCGGGGCCCTTGGGGCAGAACTTCAGGCCAGACAACTTCATCTTTGGTGAGCCTTGGGTGAGAACTGGGGTGCGGCTCCTTAGCCAGGGTAGCTTAAAATCTGGGAATGCCCCAAGGTCATCGCTGTGGGAACTGTGGAGCCAGGGCCCCTGAACACCCTCCTATCCTCCTAGTCGCTTGATCTGCCTCTCCTAAACGGGCTTTGGGAGGAAGGCCCAGGTGTCTCAATGTGAGGAGCTACTGATGTAAACTCCCTGCAGGGAGCTGAGCTGGGGCCGTGGCTACTGCCTTCCCTGAAAATGGGCAGGAGCCACCTGCAGGGAGGTCTGTTAGCCTGTCTCAGGTTTGGCTCGTGATTTAATTTCTAACAGGGGAGGCTGCTGTCCTGTAACTCTGGGGGAGGGGGTTTCATTTGCTCCACCTGCAGGGTAATTGGTGTTCTCACCTCACACCTGACACTTGGTGCATTTTGCATTGTGGTGGTGACCACTGATGACCATATACCTGGCCATTGAGTGACTGGCTGTACTGTCTTACAGGTCAGTGTGGGGCCGGAAACAACTGGGCCAAGGGGCACTATACAAAATGTGCAGAGCTGATGGAGTCAGTGATAGACATTGTCAGAAAGGAGTCTGAGAGCTGTGACTGCCTGTAGGGTTTCCAGCTGACCCACTCCCTGGGTGCGGGGACTGAGTCTGGGATGGGTACCCTTCTCATTAGTAAGATCCGGGAGGAGTATCCAGACAGGATCATAAACCATTCAGCATCCTGCCCACACCCAAGGTGTCAGACACTGTTGTGGAACCCTGCAATGCCACCCTCTCAGTACACCAGCTCATAGAAAATGCAGATGAGACCTTTTGCGTAGATAACAAAGCTCTATATAACATCTGTTCCAGAACCCTAAAACTGCCCACACCCACCTATGGTGACCTGAACCACCTGGTGTCTGCTATGCTACCATGAGTGGGGTCACCACGTGCCTGCGTTTCCCAGGCCAGCTGAATGCTGACCTGTGGAAGCTGGCCATGAACTTGATCCTGTTTCCCCCGCTACATTTCTTCATGCCTGGCTTTGCCCCACTGACCAGCCGGGGCAGCCAGCAGTACCGGGCCCTGACCATGGCTGACTTTACCCAGCAGATGTTTGATGCTAAGAATATGATGGCCGCCTGTGACCCCCGCCATGGCCGCTACCGAATGGCGGCTGCCATTTTCAGGGGTTGCATGTCCATGAGGGAGGTGGATGAACAAATGTTCAACATTCAAAATAAGAACAGCAGCTACTTTGTTGACTGGCTCCCCTACAACATAAAAACAGCCGTCTGTGACATCCCACCCCAGGGGCTAAAAACATCATCCACTTTCATTGGCAACAACACGGCCATCCAGGAACTCTTTAAGCTTGTCTCAGAGCAGTTTACAGCAATGTTCAGGTGCAAGGCTTTCCTCCACTGGTACAGGGGTGAGGGCATGGATGAGACAGAGTTCACAGAGGCCTAGAGCAACATGAACGATCTTGTGTCAGAATATCAGCAATATCAGGATGCCACAGCTGACGAGGAGGAGGTGGCCTAGAACTTTCCTTTTCTGGGTAAAGGTGGGGAAGCAGTGCAGATTCTTTACTGTGTTCTGACAGCCATGTGTCACTATGCACTTGTTCATTTGGGTCTTCACATCTCCTCCTGCTGCATTTTGAAGCACTTTTATAGTATGCAGTTTTGCCTAATAAAGTATTCTCATAGCATCTGGTTTAACCTCCAACTTCTTTCTATAGTCCCTCTGGCTACTGCTGCCAGATGCACATAGTTGTCCTGCAAGGCTGAAGTTGTCTGGGCTTAACACATGCCCAGAAACAAGCATTCCAGTGGTTCCAGGAGGGGTCAGCATGGGCTGTGGACATGGCAGGTAGGCTTCACATGAACTTGGGGATGCCCTGGGCCTTGGGCAGCTATGTGGTGGAAAACCTGTTCCTGAAGGCAACACTTGGCTTATCCCATGTAGCAAACTTCCAGGGGAACAACTGGCCCTCTGTTTCTGGAACTTTAAAAGTGGTCAGTGACCCTGGTGGACAATGTTCCCAAAATCCCACCTCGGGGTAGGGATGTGGTCAGACAGCTGGTTCTGAACCAGCAATGAGGGGTGGGCAAGTAGGACTCCAGCCACTCCATCACCATGACGGCCTGGGTGTGTTTGTGTGGCCTCATTCTCTTGATGAGGTGGGCATGGGATATCTGCCAGGGACTAGTGGGCAGGAATCGAGCCCAGTGTATACTCACATGCACTGAACCCTATGTAGAAGGGGATTAGGTCCTGGGGGCCATAGATGGCAGTTGCTGGGCTGGTGTGCTCGGGGCAGTCTCTCCAAAGGCACAAATGGGGTTTCTGAACAGGATCTGAGGAGACATGCAGGTGCTCACAAGTGCTGCTTCCCCCAGTTGGCAACCAGTGAGAAAAACGCCCGAGTGGAGGTCTGACCTGCCTCAGTCTGGAGGGCTGATGCTCTCTAGAAAGGTGGCTAATGCACAGTGTCTGCTGTCTCCCTGTCCCCCACTCCAGAATTTCAGGGCAAAAATAAGATTGTCTGGATGAAACTGGTGAGGGTGGCACCTTTGGGGATAGGCCCTTTAGCCTGGCAGTTTCCTCCCCAGGCTTCTCGGGGAGCCTGGACTTCAAAGCCTGCTTTGGGGAACTTCAAATAAGAGATGTGTGTGTGAGCTGGGTGCTGTGCAGCATGTCAGGACAGTGCTCTTCTACCTGGCTCTTGCAGAACTTGTTCACAGCCTGTGTGATGACCTCTTGGTATTTCCTACCCTACCCCTATCACACAGAAAAGATGAAGCCAGCATAGCCTGGGGGTGGGCAGATGTACAGGTTCTACCCCAGGTCCCCTGGGCATACCACCTGCCTCAGATATGTCAGAGAAAAGAGGTGAGGCTCCTTTCTTTTCTCTGAATGTTGGCAGTGGCCTATTGCAGCCAAATGGGAACAGGCTGGCAGGAGAGTGCCTATCTTGAAGGAAGTGGCTCCTGGAAGCAGCTAGGAGGAGGGAGAGGTCCCCCATACTCCCCCAACCTGGTCTCAGAGCAGGCAAAGGGGCCTCTGTGATAGCCCTCCTCAATGGCTCTCACTCTCTGAGGGGTGTCCTTGCCCAACCCAGGTGTGCACCAATCTGGGATGGCCTTCCATGGATCTGGTTGGGAAGGTTCAGCTGCAGCAACCACTGGAACCTCCCACACCTAGTGTCTCCACTCACGTGTGGGGTCAGATGTTCCTCCTGTGGTGGTACAGCCAGAGTGGCAGAGGGGGCAAGTCACTGCTACAGTTCCCACCTGGGTCTGAGTGGGGGTCAGGCTTGGTGCCCATGTATTTCCCAATTACCTGGTTCCATCTGGGGAACAGGAGTGGTGCTTTTCCAGGCCTCTTTTCCATATGACAGCTACAGGCCCAGGTTTCCCAAGTTTCTGGAACCCCCCTTCCTGCCAGACAAGCACGGCATGTTGTGGGGGAAGGGCATCAAGCCTACAGGCAACAGAACCTGTCTGGGTATGTTCTCTACCCCTGGAGGCCCCTGGTTGTTTACCTGTTTCAGTGAAAGTCGGCTTAGGACCTCAACATTCTTGCAGGACTTCAGAACTGTACAGACAGGGGCCCAGGAGGGAGCAGGGGCTGGGACTGTCAGCTAACCAGTGTAGTGGGTGTTGTCGGGCTCAGTTTTGTCTTGCAGGGAATGCAGTGAGGCTTGGATTTGCTGAAGCTCTAGACAAGCTTGCGCTTGGATATGGAAACAGCATGGATCAGGGGCCCTTCTGCATGCTGGAGTCATTCAAAATACTTTAGTCATCAATTAAATGAACTAAATGTAAGTCTGAAAACAATAAGATATTTATTTTTATGAGAACATATATAACTTCTGGTTACCTTATTGTCACACTCTAGTTTGTGTGCAGTAAAGAATGACAAATTATTTTATCAATTACTACCAATATCAATGTGTAAGAGGTTTTTCTTATCTCTTAAAGTATGGTTCTGCTACATTTCAGTAGAACGCTTACCTGAACAGATATAACATAACTGGTTCAATGCTAGCTTGCCCTAGATGTTCAGAGCTGCCTTCAGTATGATTATCTAGCAAGTTCTTCATTATAGCTATGGTTTGCTCTACAAATTGAGTATTGGTATCAGTCAATAAAACCTATAGAAAGAGCAAACATATTAATGATTTACCATCAATGCCCAGAAGACAGACCCTTAGAGAGATGAAACCAACTGATCTAAACACACAAACAGAGACGTGCACCGACAGGCACACAGCCAAACAGGCATACAGATATATGCAGACACTCATACCCATACACAAGGCATGTATATCCTCAGGCACACATACACACCAGAGTTCCTAAGAAGCAAGCTGACCCCTACATTGAGATGACTCTTCTTTCTGCAATTTTTTGGCAATTTTTAAAAACTGTGAGCACCTAATTTAAATAATCGGAAAGAAAAAGTCTTCCTTATTTCAAACAAGTCACTCTATTCATAGGGAAAGGTGAAAAATAAAAAAGAACACACTTTACCTGTCCTTGGGAGTCAAAAAACTTGCTGATGGTATTCTTCAGTTTGTTAAATAGCATCAGATAAAGAACAGGACTTAATTCTAGACCCACCAGATCCTTAACATTGGTCCGTGTTTGAAGTCCCACTTTCCCATGGTTACACAGTATTAAGGACAACAGCTGATCCATACATTTGCTGACAGGTGTATCTGCATTTCCCTCTGAGGACATCACTGAAATCATAGAACCTTACATTCACTGACTGGACCCATGGGTGGGCTATAGGTTGCCAGGCCAGAATTACTTTTCTGCTGGAGGCACACTCCCCCAAGGGCACAAAGGAAGCCAGTCATGTTGATCCATTCCTGTAGAGAGTCTGTGTCAGACAAATCTATGCATCCTCCTCCACGCACATGGGACATTCGCCTCTTAACAATGGTCTTGTGAAGCTTTCAGCAGCCTAAACACAAAATTTTCATGTAAAGCATGAATTAAACCTAAATTAGTTGAGACTTGACAAATTCCTCTTTATCCAACATTTCTTCCATGACAAAAGTACAAGAAATGTAAAAAAACACATTAAAATCAACCCCAAGAGTGTCAGACAATGGGTGCAGGACAGTGGATGCAGCACATCGAGAGTGAGCCGAACCAGGGTGAGGTATGGCCTCATCTGGGAAGTTCAAGGGGTCAGGGAATTCCCTTTCCTAGTCAAAGAAAGGGGTGACAGATGGCACCTGGAAAATTGGGTCACTCCCACCCTAATACTGCACTTTTCCAACGGTCTTAGCAAATGACACACGAGGTGATTATATCCTGTGCATGGCTCGGAGGGTCCTATGCCCATGGAACCTCTCTCATTGCTAGCACAGCAGTCTGAGATCAAACTGCAAGGTGGCAGTGAGGCTGGGGGAGGGGCACCTGCCATTGCTGAGGCTTGAGTAGGTAAACAAAGTGGCCCGCCTGGAAGCTCAAACTGGGTGGAGCCCACCACAGCTCAAGGAGGCCTGCCTGACTCTCTAGACTCCACCTCTGGAGGCAGGGCATAACCAAAAAAAAAAGGCAGCAGAAACCTCTGCAGACTTAAATGTCCCTGTCTGACAGCTTTGAAGAGAGTAGTGGTTCTCCCAGCACACAGCTGGAGATCTGAGAATGGACAGACTGCCTCCTCAAGTGGGTCCCTGACACCTGAGTGGCCTAACTGGGAGGCACCCCCCCCCCCCCCAGTACAGACAGACTGACACCTCACATGGCCAGGTACCCCTCTGAGACAAAACTTCCAGAGGAACGATCAGGCAGCAACATTTGCTGTTCAGCAGTATTCACTGTTCTGCAGCCTCCACTGCTGATACCCAGGCAAACAGGGTCTGGAGTGGACCTCCAGCAAATTCCAACAGACCTGCAGCTGAGGGTCCTGACTGTTAGAAGGAAAACTAACAAACAGAAAGGACATCCACACAAAACCCCATTTGTATGTCACCATCATCAAAGACCAAATATATATAAAACCACAAATATGGGGAAAAACAGAGCAGGAAAACTGGAAACTCTAAAAATAAGAGCACCTCTCCTCCTCCAAAGGAATGCAGCTCCTCACCAGCAACGGAACAAAGCTGGACAGAGAATGACTTTGACAAGTTGAGAGAAGAAGGCTTAGGACAATCAAACTACTCCGAGCTAAAGGAAGAAGTTCGAACCTATGGCAAAGAAGTTAAAACCTTGAAAAAAAAATTACATGAATGGCTAAATAGAATAACCAATGCAGAGAAGTCCTTAAAGGACCTGATGGAGCTGAAAACCAAGGCATGAGAACTACGTGACAAATGCACAAGCCTCAGGAGCTGATTCGATCAACTGGAAGAAAGGCCATCAGTGATGGGAGATGAAACGAATGAAACAAAGAAAGAAAAGAAGTTTAGAGAAAAAAAGAATAAAAAGAAACCAACAAAGCCTCCAATAAATATGGGATTATGTGAAAAGACCAAATCTACATCTGATTGGTGTACCGAAAGTGACGGGGAGAATGGAACCAAGTTGGAAAACACTCTGCAGAATATTATCCAGGAGAACATCTCCAATCTAGCAAGGCAGGCCAACATTCAAATTCAGGAAATACAGAGAACACCACAAAGATATTCCTTGAGAAGAGCAACTCCAAGACACATAATTGTCAGATTCACCAAAGTTGAAATGAAGGGAAAAATGTTAAGGGCAGCCAGAGAGAAAGGTCGGGTTACCCACAAAGGGAAGCCCATCAGACTAACAGATGATCTCTCAGCAGAAAAATCTACAAGCTAGAAGAGAGTGGGGGCCAATAGTCAACTTTCTTAAAGAAAAGAATTTTCAACCCAGAATTTCATATCCAGCCAAACTAAGCTTCATAAGTGAAGGAGAAATAAAATACTTTACAGACAAGCAAATGCTGAGAGATTTTCACACCACCAGGCCTGCCCTAAAAGAGCTCCTGAAGGAAGCACTAAACATGGAAAGGAACAACGGGTACCACCCACTGCAAAAACATGCCAAATTGTAAAGACCATCAAGGCTACGAAGAAACTGCATCAACTAATGAGCAAAATAACCAGCTAACATCATAATGACAGGATCAAATTCACATATAACAATATTAACCTTAAATGTAAATGGGCTGAATGCTCCAATTAAAAGACACAGACTGGAAAATTGGATAGAGTCAAGACCCATCAGTGTGCTGTATTCAGGAGATCAATCTCACATGCAGAGAAACACATAGGCTCAAAATAAAGGGATGGAAGAAGATCTACCAAGCAAATGGAATACAAAAAAAGTCAGGGGTTGCAATCCTAGTCTCTGATAAAACAGACTTTAAACCAACAAAGATCAAAAGAGACAAAGAAGGCCATTACATAATGGTAAAGGGATCAATTCAACAAGAAGAGCTAACTATCCTAAATATATATGCACCCAATACAGGAGCACCCAGATTCATAAAGCAAGTCCTTAGAGACCTACAAACAGACTCCCACACAATAATAATGGGAGACTTTCACACCCCACTGTTAACATTAGACAGATCAAAGAGACAGAAAGTTAACAAGGATATCCAGGAATCGAACTCAGCTCTGCACGAAGTGGACCTAATAGACATCTGCAGAACTCTCCAACCCAAATCAACAGAATATACATTCTTCTAAGCACCACACCACACCTATTCCAAAATTGACCACATAGTTGGAAGTAAAGCACTCCTCAGAAAATGTAAAAGAACAGAAATTATAACAAACTATCTCTCAGACCACAGTGCAATCAAACTAAAACTCAGGATTAAGAAACTCACTCAAAACCGCTCAACTACATGGAAACTGAACAACCTGCTCCTGAATTACTACTGGGTACATAACGTAATGAAGGTAGAAATAAAGATGTTCTTTGAAACCAACAAGAACAAACACACAACATACCAGAATCTCTGGGACACGTTGAAAGCAGCGTGTGGAGGGAAATTTATAGCACTAAATGCCCACAAGAGAAAGCAGGAAAGATCTAAAATTGACACCCTAACATCACAATTAAAAGAACTAGAGAAGCAAGAGCAAACACATTCAAAAGCTAGCAGAAGGCAAGAAATAACTAAGATCAGAGCAGAACTGAAGGAAATAGAGACACAAAAAGCCCTTCAAAAAATCAATGAATCCAGGAGCTGGTGTTTTGAAAAGATCAACAAAATTGATAGACCACTGGCAAGACTAATAAGAAAAGAGAGAAGAATCAAATAGACACAATAAAAAATGATAAAGGGGATATCACAACCGATCCCACAGAAATACAAACTACCATCAGAGAATAAACACCTCTCTATGCAAATAAACTAGAAAATCGAGAAGAAATGGATAAATTCCTTGACACATACACCTTCCCAAGACTAAACCAGGAAGAAGTTGAATCTCTGAATAGAGCAATAACAGGTTCTGAAATTGAGGCAATAATTAATAGCTTGCCAACCAAAAAAAGTCCAGGATCAGTTGGTTTCACAGCCAAATTCTACCAGAGGTACAAGAAGGAGCTGATACCATTCCTTCTGAAACTCTTCCAATCAATAGAAAAAGAGGGAGTCCTCCATAATTCATTTTATGAGGCCAGCATCATCCTGATACCAACGTCTGGCAGAGACACAACAAAAAAAGACAATTTTAGACCAATATCCCTGATGAACATCGATGCAAAAATCCTCAATAAAATACAGGCAAACCGAATCCAGCAGCACATCAAAAAGTTTATCCACCATGATCAAGTGGGCTTCATCCCTGGGATGCAAGGCTGGTTCAACATACACAAATCAATAAACTTAATCCACCATGTAAACAGAACCAAGGACAAAAAATCTCAATAGATGCAGAAAAGGCCTTTGACAAAATTCAACAACCCTTCATGCTAAAAACTCGCAATAAATTAGGTATTGATGGGACATATCTCAAAATAATGAGAGCTATCTATGACAAACTCACAGCCAATATCATACTGAAAGGGCAGAAACTGGAAGCATTCCCTTTGAAAACTGGCACAAGACAGGGATGCCCTCTCTCACCACTCCTATTCAACATAGTGTTGGAAGTTCTGGCCAGGGCAATCAGGCAGGAGAAGGAAATAAAGGGTATTCAATTAGGAAAAGAGGAAGTCAAATTGTCCCTGTTTGCAGATGACATGATTGTATATCTAGAAAACCCCATCTTCTCAGCTCAAAATCTCCTTAAGCTGATAGGCAACTTCAGCAAAGTCTCACGATACAAAATCAATGTGCAAAAATCACAAGCATTCTTATACACCAATAACAGACAAACAGAGAGCCAAATCATGAGTGAACTCCCATTCACAATTGCTTCAAAGAGAGTAAAATATCTAGGAATCCAACTAAAAAGGGATGTGAAGGACCTCTTCAAGGAGAACTACAAACCACTGCTCAATGAAATAAAAGAGGATACAAACAAATGGAAGAACATTCCATTCTCATGGGTAGGAAGAATCAATATTGTGAAAATGGCCATACTGCCCAAGGTAATTTATAGATTCAATGCCATCCCTATCAAGCTACCAATGACTTTCTTCACAGAATTGGAAAAAACTACTTTAAAGTTCATATGGAACCAAAAAAGAGCCCACATTGCCAAGTCAATCCTAAACCAAAAGAACAAAGCTGGAGGCATCACGCTACCTGACTTCAAACTGTACTACAAGGCTACAGTAATCAAAACAGCGTGGTACTGGTGCCAAAACACAGATATAGACCAATGGAACAGAACAGAGCCCTCAGAAATAATGCCACATATCTACAACCATCTGATCTTTGACAAACCTGACAAAAACAAGAATGGGGAAAGGATTCCCTATTTAATAAATGGTGCTGGGAAAACTGGCTAGCCATATGTAGAAAGCTGAAACTGGATCCCTTCCTTACATCTTATATAAAAATTAATTCAAGATGGATTAAAGACTTAACTGTTAAACCTGAAACCATAAAAACCCTAGAAGAAAACCTAGGCAATACCATTCAGGACATAGGCATGGGAAGGACTTCATATCTAAAACACCAAAAACAATGGCAACAAAAGCCAAAACTGACAAATGGGATCTATTTAAACTAAAGAGCTGCACAGCAAAAGAAACTACCATCAGAGTGAACAGGCAACCTACAGAATGGGAGAAAATTTTTGCAATCTACTCACCTGACAAAGGTCTAATATCCAGAATCTACAAATAACTCAAACAAATTTGCAAGAATAAAACAACCCCATCAAGAAGTGGGTGAAGGATATGAACAGACACTTCTCAAAGGAGACATTTATGAAGCCAACAGACACATCAAAAAATGCTCATCATCACTGGCCATCAGAGAAATGCAAATCAAAACCACAATGAGATACAATCTCACACCAGTTAGAATGGTGATCAATAAAAGGAAACAACAGGTACTGGAGAGGATGTGGAGAAATAGGAACACTTTTGCACTATTGGTGGGACTGTAAACTAGTTCAACCATTGTGGAAGACAGTGTGGTGATTCCTCAGGGAATCTAGAACTAGAAATACCATTTGACCCAGCCATCCCACTACTGGGCATATACCCAAAGGATTATAAATCATGCTGTTATAAAGGCACATGCACACGTATGTTTACTGTGGCACTATTCACAATAGCAAAGACTTGGAACCAACCCAAATGTCCATCAATGATAGACTGGATTAAGAAAATGTGGCACGTATACACCGTGGAATACTATGCAGCCATAAAAATTGATGAGTTCATGTCCTTTGTAGGGACATGGATGAAGCTGGAAACCATCATTCTCAGCAAACTATCACAAGGACAAAAAACCAAACACCTCATGTTCTCACTCATAGGTGGGAATTGTACAATGAGAACAGATGGACACAGGAAGGGGAACATCACACACTGGGGCCTGTTTTGGGGTGGGGGGAGGAGGGAGGGAAGCATTAGGAGATATACCTAATGTAAATGACGTGTTAATGGGTGCAGCACACCAACATGGCACATGTATACATATGTAACAAACCTGCACGTTGTGCACATGTACCCTAGAACTTAAAGTATAATTTAAAAAAAAAAGAAAAATAAATCAGTATTTCACTACCTCTAGCCACTTTATTAGCAGAAAATTTTTATTTTTAGAGCAGTGTTACAGATTAGCATTATCCTACAACTCCCACTAGTATTAACCTTGATATAATAATTTAAATTTCCAAGATTTCAATTAGAGAAGAAAGCTTTAAGCTGCTAATTGTCCCTCAGGTACTTTCTTCTGGGTCCTGAGGCATGGAATCTCCCCAGACAGATCTATTTTTCACATGCCCTAAGTATGCACTTAAAGGGATTGTGCTGAACAGCTCTCACCTTCTTTCTGGTTTGTTAATTCCTAAAATGAGGCCCTAGCCACAAAATGGTGAAACTACAGTATAGGTTCTGGAATTTGACCAACATCAGTTCAAATCCTGACTATAATTTATAGAATATGTATTATGCAGCAAGTTACTTGATCTCTTTGTGCTTCTGTTTCTGTATCTTCATCTGCAAAATATGGGCCCTAATACTTGAAGATAAAATGAGGTAATTTAAGTGTTTTGCAGAGTGACTTCCACGTATTGTCAGTGAGTGGTAGCTATTTTTGGCAACAACTTTTCATCCTTATTTGTATGGCCAGGACTCACCTCCCCTTTCCTGGCACACACAAAAAAAGACAAGGAAAATTATGTAGCATCCCAGACACAAACCAGTATTTTCCATAGTGAAAGCCAAGATAAGTTAACAACAACGTCATCAATAATACCAACAATCATACTGAGCAAGTGCCTGCAAACAAAAAGAAAATTAATCCTTGATTTCAAAAGGCTTATGGATCATGAAACTTTTATTAGAAATACTTTGTCTATAAAATGACATTGTCTATATGATAATATATCCAAAAAAGCTTTCCATTTCTGCTTCTTCAACTGGAATCTTGCTTTGGTTTTCTTATATTTTTATTAATATATGCTTTAGCGTATATGCATGACCCCAAACTGTAAGAATTAAATGAATTTTTAGTCATATAGTTACTGCATTCCTATAACTAAGTGGGTTTAGGCAACAATATTTTACATCTGCTTCTAATTCAGACTTTCTGGTTTGCACAACCTCTGGGCTTTGTAGGCCAATATTTTCAAAACATTATTTGTATATCTTACCTTCAATCTCTAAAACTTGGGATATGCCCCTAATATAAGTAGTATTTTGCGAGCTATTAAAAATAAAAAATCACACAAAATATTCTAATAGAATCTAAGTAGTATTAGAGGACTGATTATATAAAGCCTGTGTAACATGCTCTTTTAACTCTATTACTTGTGTCATTGCTGATGAAATATTTATTGATCAGGAAATAGAAGTAGGTACAGCAAACACAGAGAAGTATGACTTTGGCTATGCATTCAAGAAGAATGTGTTACTTAGTATGACTTTGATTACTTAAAAAATCCATTTCTTCTTGTTATCCACCCCCAGGAAAACTATTCCAACTGTAAGACAAGACAATATGGGTATAGCCTAACAAGTAAGACTATGCTACAGATAATACAGTGTAGGAGCAAGCTCTCTACATGTGGTTGGATTTCTGTTGGCTGAAAAGGTTAAATGTAATTGTGTTTAATTAATTAGATGGACTTCCTTTGATTAATCAAATCAACTGACATTTTTAATATCAAGTAGGTCATTTAATAACAATTTCAGCCTACTGCTCTTATGCCTAAAGCTCTTAAAAATATCAATAAATAGGACACACCATAAACACTACAGGTGCAGATGTAAAACAAACTTACATAAATTTAGATATTAATGCTTAAAATCCTATAAAAAATTAATATGCATATTATGCACAATACATGGGATTAATGCATTTCTTCCTAATAATGTTTCCTTGCTGCAAAGCTGGATGGAGTCTATATTTTTCTAATTTATGATCTAGTATGTCAAAGTTTTACCTCCAGTAGAGTATTATTGTTTGGAATCCATAATTTCATAATATTATCAAATTACTTATGAATTGTTTTGAGAGGAAGCAAAACATAAAAAAGAAGTTAACTACAGTTATAGATAGTACCTTGTACTTCCTTGTTCACTCAATGGACAACAATCAGACCACCAGATATTGTCACTTTTGCTAACAATGTACACTCAGGCCCTTTTAAAATCTTTTGTAATCTTGAAGTTTGCTTAGGTTGTGTAACCTTAATTACAAGCACCCAAATTTTTCTTAGGAACAATCTGAGGGCAAGTGTGTTATGTACTAAATTTTTTGTCCGCACAAAATTCATATGTTGAAGCTCTCACTCGCAGTGTGATAATATTTGGGCATAGGGTCTTTGGGAGGTACTTGGGTCATGAAGGAAAGGTCCTGGTATGATGGGATTAGTGCCCTTAGAAAAATGAAATATCAGAGAGCTGGTTCTCACTCTCTTCACCAGCACACACTGAGGAAATGTCGTGTGTGCACAAAGCAAGAAGGCAGCAGTCTGAAAACCAGGAAGAGAGCCCTCACCAGAAACCAATCCCACCAATGTTAATCTGGTTATCTAGCTACCAGAGCTGTGAAAAATAAATTTTTGTTGTTTAAGCCACCCATTCTGAGGTGTTTTGCTCTGGCAGCCCCAGCAGAATAAGACACAATGGTATATTATTTCATCTGTGAGCCCAACACCCTGATGAATTGGAGAGGAGACCAGGCTCATTGAACCCATGCAATAAGACCCTTGTGGTTTCCATAGGATTCAGAAGACCTAATACAATCCCCACTGACACAGTGGAGAGGCTCTTGGCCTTGCCCACTATGGGGCAGAGGAGGCTGTTTGACTCATTCATAGGCGTTCTCCCAGGATTATAATCATGACCCCTGCTGTGGTTTAAATGTTTGGTTCTTCCAAAATCATGTTGAAATTTAGCTGCTATTCTAACAGCATCAAGAGGTGGAATATTTTTAATACTGCACTAAGTATTTAAAATAGTATTTAGAGGTGAGTGATTAGGTCATGTGTGCTCTTCCATCATGAGTGGATTAACATCATTATCACAGGAGCAGGTTCCTTATGAAAAACAAGTTTTTCCCCTTTTCTCATTCTTTCTCTCTCACCCTTTTTTCCCCCTTGCACCATGGGATGATGCCACAAGAAGACTCTTGCCAGATGCTGGCCCCTCATTCTTGGACGTTCCAGCCTCAAGAACCCTGATCCAATAAACTTTTGTTCTTTATAAATTATCCTGTCTGTGGCATTATGTTATAGCAGCACAAAATGGACTAAGACAATCCTATGTGTAGCCTATTTCTCTCTTTTGTAACCCTTCAAATAACCACAGAAAATTATGTTTTGTAGCCACAAGTGTACCTGTGCTACTTTATATCTCACTGAGTTAGAAATGAGGTAGTGTTTCATAAAAGGGAGTGATGTACAGTTTGTTCTTCTTCAGGAACTAGTAGAAAGAGCTAGTAAATCCTGATCAGCGCCAGAGAAAGAAAGAGAGGCATTATCTCTTCTAAAATAAACTTCCTTCTGGTCTTCCAAATTCTATTCTGTTTTTCTATAGGTGTGCCTTTATTAACTTTCTTTCAATATCGCTAAAAAAATGCCTTCTCAGCACCTACCGTTTGAGAAGTAATTACTGTTGCCCTTTATTTCCAGCCATGGCAAGCAGCAGTGAAAGAAGGTGACAATCGGCCCTGGCTGGTCTGATTATTGCCTGACACCAGGGCCCCACCACCTTAATAAGGCTACCTGGGTCAGAGTGACTGCATGTAATCCTCAAGGCAATAACAGTTAAGAAAGTTATTTACAAGGAACAAACATCTTATTATGAAGAGAAAACAGAAGCAAGAAAAGTGAAGTACATTTCCCAATTACAGACTCTCAGCCGTTTTCTAAAAGCCTCCTGTCAGGTTTATAAATGTAATTGTTAAACAGCTGCTAAGAGTGGCAAACAAAATGTCAATAACAAGGATCAAATAATTCTTTCTTAAAAAATAAAAGAAGACAGAGGTCAGTCTCTGGTGCCAATCAAAGGCTCGAAAACAAGTTATTATTCCCTTGTAAATATAAGTTCATTTTAGTAAGGTTTCTCCCTACAGTCATAATTAGCTAACAGTATTGTCCTACAATTGAGATGTCTGGCTTTGTTAAATGGTGGCATGTGTTAGAATATGTGTACCACACATGTGAATTTTACATTACACATTTTCAGAAAAGGTGAAATCAATTTGTTATGTGGATGTTAGACATGACTCCAAATCCAGGCCAGTGTATTTATTAGTGCTGACATTTATGCATAGTGCCCAATTTCAGAATATTAGCAAAATTAAACTTAAACGATTCTAATTTATAATTACTTTCAATTCTCTTTAAAACTAGATCTGATAACCTTTGGAAGTTAGTGGAATAACTCTTCTTGAAGGTCTTT